>NT_167249.2:2847889-3040886 GCF_000001405.40 Homo sapiens
CATTGTCTGAAGAACCCAACATTCCCCAAAGATCAACTGGTCTTCAAATTTCACATCTGTTTAGATTAGTAGCTACTTTGTTTCTTGACAGATTGTTTGCTCGTAGCCAAAAAGTAGCATAGAAGGTAGGCTCTGGAGTTAGATTGCCTGGATTCAAACCCCAGCTCCAAATCCCAGCTCCACACTTCATAGCTACGTATTCTTGGACAGGTTACTTGAGGCTTAGTTTGCCCATGTGTAAAAATTAAAATAATAACAACCTTTGCTATGTGCCAGACATTTCTTATAAAGTAACACATTTAATCCTCACAACAATCTTAGGAGGTGAGTACTGATATTATCCCCCATTTCCCAGCTGAGGAAACAGGGCATAGAGAAGTCATTTGCCAGAGTTACAGTTATTCACTGGTAGAGCAGAGATTATAACCCAGATGGACTAGATAGAGTGTCCATGCTTTTAACAGCTACATTGTCCTGTGTTATACATTATAGCATTGTACATTGATTGTGCCCATGTTCAGAGTACCCATGTTGTGCCATATATGTTTTGAGAATCAACTGACATAGTACATAATTAGAGTACCTGGCACACACGATAAGCACTTGGTATATGCTGGCGATTGTTGTTCCTGTTTCTCTGTTTTTTGTTTTTGTTTTTGTTTTTTATGAAGTTTCACTCTTCTTGCCCAGGCTGGAATGCAATGGTGCGATCCTGGCTCACTGCAACCTCTACCTCCCAGGTTCAAGTGATTCTCATGCGTCAGCCTCCCAAGTAGCTAGGATTACAGGCGCATGCCACCACGCCCAGCTAATTTTTATATTTTTAGAAGAGATGGGTTTTCGCCATGTTGGACAAGCTGATCTCGAATGCCTGACCTCAGGTGATCCACCAACCTCAGCCTCTCAAAGTGCTGGGATTACAGGTGTGAGCCACCACACCTCGCCTTGTTCCTGTTTTTGTTATCAACAGGTCCATACTCCCTTAACCACAATTCTAAACTCAAAAACACTCTGAGAACCAACATTTTTCATCAGGCTGCCACCAAAATTCATTTGGTGACAGAAACCTAATCTGAACTAAAGTAAGACTATTATTTATTTTCATCCTACTGATGTCAATATTCATACATTTCCCTGCAGAAACACTCATGTGTTTGGTTCTTGGGCTGCCTAGGCCCTCCTGGGCTACCTAATATAGAGTGAGTGTACTTTTAGGTCAGCCCTATCAAGTCCCAAAAACATTTGAATTCTGCAAAACCTTTGGCACTGAAGGATTCAAATGGGGAACCTGGTGATATTATAATAGTGGTGGAGGCCAGGTGCGGTGGGTCATGCCTGTAATCCCAGCACTTTGGGAGGCCAAGGCAGTCAGATCACGAGGTCAGGAGTTCGAGACCAGCCTGACCAACATAGTGAAACCCCCATCTGTACTAAAAATACAAAAATTAGCCAGGCATGGTGGCACACACCTGTAGTCTCAGCTACTTGGGAGGCTGAGGCAGGAGAATCACTTGAACCCGGAAGACAGAGGTTGTGGTGAGCCGAGATTGCACTACTGCATTCCAACCTGGGCAACACAGCAAGACTCCGTCTCAAAAAAAAAAAAAAGAGTGGTGGAAGCAGCTCTTTATGGGTAGAGCCCTGCTTACTAGAATAAAAGCTGAAACCTTCTTTCCCCATCTAGAGATTTCCTTCTGGAGTAAGAACATTACAGGAAAACCTCTAGATCCAGATGAACAACCCTAACATCCCCCAGCTCAAGTATAGACAGAAGGCCCCTCCCCCAAAACTCCCCCAAATGGTCAAAAAACCCCCTATTTAAAAATTTCCTTTAACGTACCTGAGATAGGCTAGCATATTCAGATTTGTTTCTTGTTGTTTTTACTTAAAACAGAGTAGGTTTACTGAGTGCAGGCATCTAACTTGACAGCTCATATTGTAAGAGGCAGGACCCTGGAAGGCAAAAGAGCGGATTACCCCGAAGCAGACCTGCATCCAGACCCCAGCTCTGCCATCAACAGGGACATGCAGCTTACCTCTGTGAGCCCAATTTGCCTCGCAAAAATGGGAGTTTTGTTTTTTGTTTTGTTTTGTTTTTTTGAGATGGAGTTTCCCTGTTGTTGCCCAGGCTAGAGTGCAATGGCGCGATTTCAGCCCACCTCAACCTCTGCCTCCTGGGTTCAAGAGATTCTCCTGCCTCAGCCTCCCAAGTAGCTGGGATTACAGGCATGCACCATCACGCCCGGCTAATTTTGTATTTTTGGTAGAGACGGTTTCTCCGTGTTGGTCAGGCTGGTCTCAAACTCCCGACCTCAGGTGACCTGCCAGCCTAGCCTCCCAAAGTGCTGGGATTACAGGCGTGAGCCACCGCGCTCAGCCAAAATGCCCCTGATAGTGTGGTAGGGATTTCCTTTATTGTTTGTTTGCTTGTTTGTTTTGAGACAGGGTCTCATTCTGTCTCCCAGCCTGGAGTGCAGTGGTGCAATCATGGCTCACTGCAGCCTCTACCTCGTGGGCTCAAGCAGTCCTCCCACCTCAGCCTCCCTAGTAGCTGGGACTACAAGCACACACCACCATGCCCAGCTAATTGTTTGTATTTTTGGTAGAGACTGTTTTGCTATGTTATCCAGGCTGTTCTGCATCTCCTGAGTTCAAACAGTCTGCCCACCTCGGCTTCCCAAAGTGCCGGGACTAGAGGCGTGAGCCACCACACCCAACTCCATTGTATTGAATTTTAAGAAGCTGGTGAGACTGATATTATCCCATTTACAGATGAGGAAAGCAGGGCCCAAAAGGTTCGGGAACTTGTCTGAAATCTCACAGCTCTCAGGTCATTGTCTTCCAAAGGGGGACCCAAGCTCAGTGCCTTCACTCCCAGACCCTGGTGTCCTCTCTGGCCTTATTTACTCCTGGTCCTCTGCCAGCCCTGCCACCAGATGGCCTTCTAACTCCTTGGTTGAAAGGCCCATCTCATTCAGCTTCCAGCTTCCTTTTTCTTTTCCTTTTGAGACGGAGTCTTGCTTTGTCGCCCAGGCTGGAGTGCAGTGGCATGATCTTGGCTCACTATAACTTCTGCTTCCTGGGTTCAAGCGATTCTCCTGCTTCAGCCTCCCAAGTAGCTGAGATTACAGGCACACACCACCATGCCCAGCTAATTTTTTTATTTTTATTTATTAATTTTTAAATTTTTATTTGTTTATTTATTTTTGAGACGGAGTCTCCCTCTGTTCCCCAGGCTGGAGTGCAGTGGCAGTATCTTGACTCACTGCAACCTCCGCCTCCTGGGTTCAAGTGATTCTCCTTCCTCAGCCTCCTGAGTAGCCGGGACTACAGGAGCCTGCCACCATGCCCGACTAACTTTTGTATTTTTAATAGAGATGGGGTTTCACCATGTTGGCCAGACTGCTCTCGAACTCCTGACCTTAGATGATCCACCTGCCTCGGCCTCCCAAAGTGCTGGGATTACAGGCATGAGCCACCATGCCCGACCTAATTTTTGTGTTTTTAGTAGAGATGGGGTTTCAACATGTTGGCCAGGCTGGTCTCAAACTCCTGACCTCAAGTGATCCACCCACCTCAGCCTCCCAAAATGTTGGGATTATAGGCATGAGCCACCGTGCCCATCCCACAGAATGTCTTTTGGTTTTGTTTTTGTTTTCTGTTTTGTTTTGTTTTGTTTTGTTTGAAAAGGAGTCTCATTCTGTCGCCCAGGCTGGAGTGCAGTGGCACAATCTCGGCTCACTGCAACCTCCACCTCCCAGGTTCAAGAGATTCTCCTGCCTCAGCCTCCCAAGTAGCTGGGACTATAGGCGTAGGGACTGTAGGCGTATGCCACCACGCCTGGCTAATTTTTTGTATTTTTAGTAGACACGGGGTTTCACCATGTTAGCCAGGATGGTCTCGATCTCTTGACCTTGTGATCTGCTCACCTCAGCCTCCCAAAGTGTTGGGATTACAGGCGTGAGCCACAGCGCCTGGCCAAAATGTTTTTATGTTTATTTTTCTTAGTATGAAACTCCAGCGTATTAAAGAGCATTGAGAACGGTTGATCTGGTAAATCGCTATAAAGGCGGCATTTCTTTTTTTTTTTTTTTTTTTTTTTTTTTGGCGAAGTGGGGGATGGAGTCTCATTCTGTCGCCCAAGCTGGAGTGCAGTAGTGTGATCTCGGCTCACTGCAAGCTCCGCTTCCCAGGTTCAAGCCATTCTCCTGCCTCAGCCTCCCAAGTAGCTGGGATTACAGGCGCCCGCCACCACGCCCAGCTAATTTTTTGTATTTTTAGTAGAGACAGGGTTTCACTGTGTTGGCCAGGCTGGTCTCGAACTCCTGACCTCATGATCCGCCCGCCTCGGCCTCCCAAAATGCTGGGATTAGAGGCGTGAGCCACCGCGCCAGGCCTAAAGGGGGCATTTCTAATACTGGAGAAAGGTGAACTTTTTTTTTTTTTTTTTTCCGAGACAGAGTCTCGCTGTGTCACCCAGGCTGGAGTGCAATGGCGCAATCTCAGCTTGCTACAACCTCCGCCTCCCGGGTTCAAGCAATTCTCCTGCCTCAGCCTCCTGAGTAGCTGGGCACCTGCCATCATGCCCAGCTAATTTTTGTATTTTTGTAGAGATGGGGGTTTCACCGTGTTGGCCAGGCTGGTCTTAAACTCCTGTCCTGACCTGAGGTGATCCACCCACCTCAGCTTCCCAAAGTGCTGGGATTACAGGCATGAGCCACTGTGCCTGACCAGGTGAACTATTTTATAAATAATATTGGAACATTTGGCTCATCTAGGGAAAAACAAGAGTCCCACCTCACACCTAATCAAAAAGTAAATTCCAGCAGATTAAATACCTGAATATGACAGGAAGGTACACACCAAATTCATGGGACAGATGGCCTGGGGAGGAATGAAACTTGGAAGGCGGTATCACGGTAAACTACCTTTATCTGTGATGATTTTATTTCCTTAAAATAAATTATACTACAAACATGACAGTACATTAACAAACCCTGTGGTAGGAATGGGGTTGTGTATTGTATTATACTTTGTATTTTTGAGAGTTTTTTAATTTCTTTTTTGTTGTTGTTGAGACAGAGTCTCACTCTGTCACCCAGGCTGGAGTCCAGTCGCGCAATCTTGGCTCACTGCAACCTCTGCCTCCCGGGTTCAAGCAGTTCTCTGCCTCAGCCTCCCAAGTAGCTGGGATTACAGGCATCCGCCACCACGTCAGGCTAATTTTTGTATTTTTAGTGGAGACGGGGTTTCACCATCTTGGCCAGACTGGTCTTGAACTCCTGACCTCATGATCCACCCACCTTGGGCTCCCAGAGTGCTGGGATTACAGGCATGAGCCACCGCGCCTGGCCGAGTTTTTTAATTTCTAAAAATAAAAATGAGTATACATCTAAAGTAGTAGAAGAAAATGCAGAGAATGTTTTATAATCTTAAAATAGAGCCTTCCTAAGAGTGAAGTGAAATAAAAAGTCAGAAAATAATATATTGATATAGATTTAACTACATGAAAATTTTAGGCCGGGTGCGGTAGCTCACACCTGTAATCCCACACTTTGGGATGCCAAGGTAGGCAGATCACTTGAGCCAGGAGTTCAAGACCAGCCTGAACAACACAGTGAGACCTGGTCTGTACAAAAAATACAAAATTAGCCAGGCGTGGTGGTACGTGGCTGTCGTCCTGTAGTCCCAGTTACTCAGGAGGCTGAGGTGGGAGGATCGCTTGAGCCCAGGTGGGGCAGAGTTTGCAGTGAGCAAGATCATGCCACCGCACTGCAGCCTGGGCAACAGGGTGAGACCTTGTCTCAAAAAGAAAAAAAAAGCTTTTTTAAAGATAGATAGAAGAAAATGTTTGCAATATGTATAACACATACAGTATATAGAACCCTCATATCAATATATATAATTTCCAAAGAAAAAGTGGATAAAGAATATGAGCAATTCATTCACAAAAAATACAAATAGCCAAAAGACATGAAAAAGAAAAAAACATTGTTAATAAAATAATTTTTTAATCTATCCAACTGGCAAAATTAAAAGGGTTGATGATATTCAATTTTGGTAAAGGAAGACATAGGCACACTTGTATATTGGCACAAACTTATTGAGAGCAGTTTGACCAAATTGCGCATGTCCTTTGACTCAGAAATTCCACTTATGAAAATCTACCCCCACAGAAAGACTGTAAGATACTCATGAGGCTGAACATTTTTTGAAACAAAGTCTATCGATATTGGGGTAAGGAGATTTGTTTTGTACACACAGTGGAACACTAATTATAAAGTCGTCAAAAAGTATGAGGTAGACTGTATATATTCCTGTGGAAAAATATAAATGAGATGTTAAATGAAAGAAGCAAGTTGCCAAGCAATATTTGTAGTATGGTTACATATCTCCAAATAAATGTGTCATATGTATGCTTTTAGGTACACCAAGGTGGGACTGGAAGGGATCACAGTACACTGTTAATAGTTATCAAATTTGTTCGTCCTTCTTTAAAAAGAAAATTTCAACTTAATTATATCCCTTTCACATTAAAATGTCAAATAAAATTGGGGGAAAAGCCACCTACAGCCCCACCACCCATAGGCTAGAATTTTTACATATTTTTTGCCAGTCTATTTTTTTTCTTTTTTTTTTTTTTTTTTTGAGATGGGAGTCTCCCTCTGTTGCCCAGGCTGGAGTGCACTGGCATGATCTCAGCTCACTGCAACCTCTGCCTTCCAGGTTCAAGTGATTCTCCTGACTCAGCCTCCCAAGTAGCTGGGATTACAGGCACATGCTACCACGCCTGGCTAATTTTTGTATTTTTAGTAGAGACAGGGTTTCACCATGTTGGCCAGGCTGGTCTCGAACTCCTGACCTCAGGTGATCCACCCGCCTCAGCCTCCCAAAGTGCTGGGATTACAGGCCATGAGCCACCACGCCCGGCCTCTTTTTTTCCAACCATAGGATTTGGTCTCTTGTTTTAGACAGTTATTATCTGATCCTCTCTCTCTCTCTCTTTTTTTTTTTTTTTTTTTTTTTTGAGATAGAGTCTCACCCTGTCACCCAGGCTGGAATGCAGAGGCGCGATCTCGGCTCACTGCAACCTCCGCCTCCCAGGTTCAAGCAGTTCTCTGCCTCAACCTCCCAAGTAGCTGGGATTACAGGCGTCAGCCACCACGCCTGGCTAATTTTATATATAATATAAAATATAATTATATATATATTTTGTTTGTTTGTTTTAGTAAAGACGGGTTTTCACCATCTTGGCCAGGCTGGTATTGAACTCCTGACCTTGTGATCCATTGTCCCCCCCCCCAGCCTCCCAAAGTGCTGGGATTACAGGCGTGAGCCACCGTGCCTGGCCACATCTGATCCTCTCTACAGTTTTGTAGCCAGCTTTTTTCAAACACATGCCTCAGTTGTAGTGGCTGTTTAATATTATGTTTTTATAGTTGGAGGCCCTACTCCTTAAAACCTATGAATGTAAACCTCCCATGCAAGCCTGAGCACTCACCATGCTCACCACCTGAGCTCAGGTGGGGAACAAGCGAATGAGAGACAGGACCAGGTACTTTCTGGGTGGGACAAGTTGAGAGGGTCTGTGACAGGTCACAGCAGCACTAGGGAGAAGTGCCCCCCCCCACCAACCCTGATGTGATTTGGGTAGGGATGGTGGGCCTTCGCCAGCCACACCTGGGCCATTCTGTCTTCTTGCCTTCCTGGCCTTGCCTTCCCCTATTCCAGCTTTCTGCCAGGTAAACAGTACTTTCCAGCACTACCAAATAAAGATTTAAGGACTGCTAGCCCATTTCCTCTTACCCCGGGGAAAGAAAGTAGGTCCACAGGAAGGAAGGCTGCCTCCCTCCCCTTCTTCTATCCCCCAAGTGAAAGAGGTGGTTGGTGGCCACAGCAGGTGGGCCTGGCCAGGATGCCTGGGTTGGCAGTGAAGGAAGTAGCATGGCACTCAGCTAACCTTGGGCCAGATGCAGCAAGGTTGGGACTGAAGAAAAGGGGAGTTCAGGAACGTCGGTTCCTCTCCTGTTTTCTCTCAGCCCATGGGTGAGACCCTCTGTCACACTCCACTCCCTTTCCCCTGCCCTAGGTCAGCAGTCATTTGGAAAGAGCTTGCTCTGCCGCCGGCCATAGTTGTTGCCGGTTCACCTCCCCACCCCTCTCCCATCATCCCCTGGTAAGGCTGGCTGAGAGAAATTCCCCTGAAAACATTTATTTTACTCAGTTTATTGATAAGTGATAATAAAAGATAAGTATTACATATTTGTGTATTTATTAATGGCCCAGAGTAGAGCATTCAGATATTTTCCCAGTCTGATATATGGTTTCAGGTGAGAAAATAAGGGATTTATATAGTGACAATATTTTTAAGTGAAAAGTGGAATACATAGTCAAAGAATTTGGGCACTGCCTTGGTGGCTGGAGGCAGGTCAGAAAATGTCAGTTGGCATGGTAGAACTTCTAGGATGCTGAAATAGTTTGTGGAGACACAAGTAAGAATTTTTTTTTTTTTTTTTTGAGACGGAGTCTTGCTCTGTCACCTAGGCTGGAGTGCAGTGGCACGATCTCGGCTTACTACAAGCTCCACCTCCCGGGTTCACATCATTCTCCTGCCTCAGCCTGCCGAGTAGCTGGGACTGCAGGCGCCCGCCACCAGGCCTGGCTAATTTTTTGTATTTTTTAGTAGAGATGGGATTTCACCATGTTAGCCAGGATGGTCGTGATCTCCTGACCTCGTGATCCGCCCGCCTCGGACTCCCAAAGTGCTGGGATTACAGGCGTGAGCCACCGCGCCTGGCCGAGAATATTTTAAACTACCACACTTACCATGCATGTGGTAAACTATCAGTCTGTATTTATCAGTGATGGTTATTTCCTAATACCCAGGAGGCATCCATGTGAGCCACCCTTCCATTGCTTTAAGACCAAGGGAGTGAGTGACCAGCAGGATTCAAGATGGCAGCTCTGCCGAGGAGTGGGAGTCCCAGCTAACTTCTGCTCCCTGCTCTCCCACCAACAGCCTACACCGATTTCTTCCTCCCGCTGCTAAGCCGCTGTCCCTCCGCCATGGGAATAAAGAATAAGGATGGGGAGACCCCTGGCCAAATTTTGGGCTGGGGACCCCCCTGGGATTCTGCTGAAGAGGAGGAAGAAGATGATGCCTCCAAGGAGCGGGAATGGAGACAGAAGCTCCAGGGTGAGCTGGAGGACGAGTGGCAGGAAGTCATGGGGAGGTTTGAAGGTGAGAAGTCCACTGCTATCCACAGCTGCCCTTCCCCACTGGCTGCTTTCCATCTGCATGAATGCGTCACACTAGGCTCCTCTGCCCCCTCCTCTGTGCTTCCCTGCTTCTTGGGGCCCATCACCTTCTCACAGCCTCTCTCCAACTACCCCCATCCCACCCTCCCAAACAGGTGATGCCTCCCATGAAACCCAGGAACCTGAGTCCTTCTCAGCCTGGTCAGATCGCCTGGCCCGGGAACATGCCCAGAAGTGCCAGCAGCAGCAGCGAGAAGCAGAGGGATCCTGTCGACCCCCACGTGCTGAGGGCTCCAGCCAGAGCTGGCGACAGCAGGAGGAGGAGCAGCGGCTCTTCAGGGAGCGAGCCCGGGCCAAGGAGGAAGAGCTGCGTGAGAGCCGAGCCAGGAGGGCGCAGGAGGCTCTAGGGGACCGAGAACCCAAGCCAACCAGGGCCGGGCCCAGGGAAGAGCACCCCAGAGGAGCGGGGAGGGGCAGCCTCTGGCGATTTGGTGATGTGCCCTGGCCCTGCCCTGGGGGAGGGGACCCAGAGGCCATGGCTGCAGCCCTGGTGGCCAGGGGCCCCCCTTTGGAGGAACAGGGGGCTCTGAGGAGGTACTTGAGGGTCCAGCAGGTCCGCTGGCACCCTGACCGCTTCCTGCAGCGATTCCGAAGCCAGATTGAGACCTGGGAGCTGGGCCGTGTGATGGGAGCAGTGACAGCCCTTTCTCAGGCCCTGAATCGCCATGCAGAGGCCCTCAAGTGACCCTAGGGAAGAAGCAAGAAACTTCGGGGCTGCAGCCTCAGGATGAGGCAGAAGGAAGGGTAAGGGAAAGGATGGGGACCACAAGGAAGAGCCAGGTGCTGCTCAGCAGAGGATATGGGTGGGAGCGAAAGTTGTAACAAGTGGGGGTGGGGGGTGCGGGCCGCCACCACTGCTCCTTGACTCTGCCGTTTCCTAATAAGACCTGGTTCCACATCTCACTCCCAGTGTCTCCTCTGTCTTTTTCCATTGCTGTGGTTTTCATCACCCATGACATCTCCTTTCCCGCCCCGCCTGCTGAAACCCACAGCTCCCACACACCTGCAACACACACGCACACGCTAACACGGGCTCTGAGCTGGAGGCAAGAAGCCTCTGCATGCCCCCTCAGTTCAGCCCTAAGAAGGCCCAGTTTGCCATCCAGTCTCACTCCACTCCCTACACTGGGGTCTTGTCCACCCTGCAATCTGTGGCTGGAGAAATAGATGCGAACAGAGGCAAAAAGGGGAACAAAACCAGTTTCCCTCCCCTCCCTGGCTCCCCAAGCTGAACCACATCCTCCTCCCCACTTAACACCCCCTTCCCCCAACACAGGGCTTTCCCTTTGCTGAGTCACTGAATGAGCGAGTTGGGGGTAGCCGGCGCTGGGGGGCCATGAGGAGGCTGGGGGAGGATGGGGAATACAAGCAGAATGGCTGGAGGAAGAGCCCTGTGGGGGAGTGGAATTTCAGTTGCTAAAATTAGGAGCAGGGGAAGGAGGTGGAAAGAGCAAAATTATGTAACATGGGTTGTCTGTTCTTGGGCAACTGGAGCTCCACACCCAAAGCCAGCCAGGCTGCTGGCTCCATCCATCTCTGCCCTCTAGCTTGTCAGTTGTATCTCTCTTCCTCCAGGGCCCCAATCCTCATCTCCGCCATTCAGCTGCTGCCCCATCCTAAACCTGAGTTCATCTCTGGGCAGCCCAGGCATGGCCTTCCCTATAAACATTTCCTTTTCCAAGAACCAGTAGTTGAAGTCCTGAGAGGTGGAGGGAGAGTCTGGGATTCCCACGGAGGAGAGAGGGGGGCTCCCTGGAAACTAAGATAGGTAGACCCCACTACCATCGCCCAGGACACAACTGGGAACTTGGCAAAAAGAAAGGACAGGGCTGCAAGGAGAGTACAGACATGTGCTGGTGAGTGCACTGTCTGCATAGTTACACCAGAGCATCTTATCAATCAGAAACTTATCTTTCAGGTTTTGAGCCCAGTTCTCTACAGGAGAATCCCAGGAGTGGAAGTGGAAGGCAGTAGAAGACAGGGAGGGCACGCCTCTGGGAACACGGGAACATGGGTGGGCATGAGATCCTTGAATAAGACAGCCTGAAGTTCGGAAGAGACCAAGGCCTCTGAAGGACCAGGCAGATGTTCAGGGTGCAGGAGGGGGAAGGGCTGGTGAGAAAGATCCTGTGAGAGGAAGCTGCTGTGATTCAGAGAAGAGACTTCAAGCTGTGTGTGACCCTGGCGTCCGGTTCCTCTCACAGGCTGGAGCTTTTCGGAAGTGGCATGCAAAGAGTCCAGGTTTGGCCTTGGGGGGAGTTGGGGTTAGGATCCCTAAGCTGGAGGTTGAGAAGTAAATTACAGAAAACTCTGGTGACCAAATTTGCTCCTCCACCCAGGAGATTTCTCACTGGTTTTTAAGCACATCATTTCCCCTTCTGCAAGAGTTACATAAAACCAAAGCAAAATAAGCCCTGAAACCTGGGCCCACCGGACCACAGTCTTTTCAACGTCCCTTCCTGGTGTCTGGCCCCCAGCCCTGGTGGGGGTTCCCCTGAGATAAGGGCTGTTCACTTTCTCTGACCACATGGTTTCCGCTTCTGTGTCTCTTGTTTCCTAGGCTGATAAAAATACTGAGCCCTAGAGGCCCTGGCTTCCTCTGACCCCTTGGGGCAGGCAGCAGGCATCCTGTCCAGCATGGTGGGGGCAGGGACAGGGGCCAGGGATTCCCAAGGGGTGACTCAGTGCCTGCCATGAAACAGTGGGTAGGTGGAAGTGTATCTCTGCTCTCTAGAGCTGGCACCAGGAGTTGAGTCTCAGTGGAGGATGCATTGGGATTCAATTGGAGGAACAGGCCTGGAAAAGAATAATGAGATTGAAGAGGGTCAGTTTGAGGACTCAGGTTGGGGCAGGTTTGGATTAAGTTAGGAAAAGGATCTGGGAGGGACTCTGTTCAGTGTAGGTCAACTGAGCATTATGTAGCCCAAAGATAAATTTAAACCCTGCTTCAAGCTTACAATCTAGTGGGGAGGCAGACCCATACCTAGTTAACTGATTCAAGGCATGATGAGTAAACTTTAAGATGATTACAGAAAGAGGGGAGATTAAGTCCATTTGAAAGCATCCAGGGAGCCTCTGAGGAGACAGCATTTGAACTTGCTCTAATGAATGGGTTCACTAGGTGGAGGTGGATGGAAAGGTTCCATAGGCGAATAACACGTCTTGAGCGAGCCTGACAAGTCAGAAAATGCAGTATGTTCTGGGAAAGGAGCGTCCTGAGGGAGAAGAAGCACAGGTGTGAGGGAACATGTGATGAAGAAAGGACCACAGAAAGTCAAGGTCAGAGATTGGACTGCATCCTGTGGGCAGTGGTCCAGGTGACGATGAAAAAGAGGGAGAACAGGTGAGTGCTGCAGTACAGACAAGGAGTAAGAAAACGGCCATCATCTTGTGAATTAATACCTACTGTGTGTTAACCAGCCCTTTTCCTAACACCACAAATCCTCTCAACGTCTGTCCAAAAGGTGGGTGGTGGTGGCCAGGCACCTCACTCCTGTAATCACAGCACTTTGGGAGGCCAAGGTGGGAGCACTTTGGGAGGATCACTTGAGGCCAGGAGTTCGAGACCAGCCTGGCCAACATGGTGAAACCCCGTCTCTACTAAAAATATAAAAACTAGCTGGGTGTGGTCTTGGGCACCTGTAATCCCAGCTACTCAGGTGTCTGAGGCACAAGAATCACTTGAACCCGGGAGGCAGAGGTTGCAGTGAGCTGAGATCATGCCTCTGCTCTCCAGTCTGGGTGACAGAGCAAGACTCTGTATCCAAAAAAAAAAAAAATTATTAAGCACCTATTAGGAGCAGGGCACTGCTTGACAATAGGTATAAATAATAAAGTCACTGCCTTCATAGAACTTGCAGTCTAATGAGACAGTATACAAATAATAACTATACATTATAGTTATAATGTATAGGTATGCCTGCTTAGGGTAATAAAGTGCTCAATGAAGGTTTGAGGTACCAGCATGACTCTCAGGTGGAGATTTCCAGAAAGCAGGTCTGGAGCTCAAGAGAAGTTGGGTCTGGAGGAACAGATTTGGGCATCATTCCCTTCCCAGTAGAGGTTGAGCCTTTGAGTGGACAGGATCTTCAAGGGAGGGGGCGGAGTGACCAGAAGAGCCCTGAGCATGATCAAAGGAAGAGAACCAATAAAGGAGAGGTTGGGGAGCAGTCAGAGAAGCAGGGCACGGGGGGCGGGGGATGCCAAGCAGAGACAGGGCAGCCATGTTTGAGGCTTCAAAGAGGTCTAGTAAATGAGGGTTGAAAAGATTGTTGGGTTCAGGAACTAGACGATTACAAATTTTGAGAAAACCGTTTCCATTTAATAGAGGGGCAGAAATCACTTTACATAGGTTGAGGAATGAGTGGGAGGTGAGGAAAAGGAGGTGGTGGGCATGAGGTCAGAATGGTGAACACAGAATAACTGAGAATCATCTCTTAGTTCTACCCACAGATTTTACAGTTGAGGGAAATTTTACCAGTTCCTGAAAAAGTGGTTCGTTAAGGGGGCTAGTCTTTTGAGACATCACACGAAAACGGAAGGTGAGATAGACTGGACATTTGAGGGAGAAATATTCCAAGGAAGGATCTTTTTTGTTGTTTATTTTCAAGAAATAAAATTGAAGGTAAAATGAAGATGCTTAAAGAGACAAAGATAGGCCAGGTGCAGTGGCTCACACCTGTAATCCCAGCACTGTGGGAGGCCAAGGTGGGCAGATCACTTGAGGCCAGGGGTTCAAGACTAGTATGGCCAACATGGCAAAACCGCATCTCTACGAAAGATACAAAAATTAGCCAGGCGTGGTGGCACATGCCTGTGGTCCCAGCTATTCACTGAGGTGGGAGAATCGCTTGAACTCAGGAGGCAGAGGGTGCAGTGAGCCGAGATCACACCACTGCACTCCAGCCTGGGTGACAGAGCGAGACTCAGTCTCAAAAAAAAAAAAAAAAAAAGCCCAGGTGCGGTGGCTCACCCTTGTAATCCCAGCGCTTTGGGAGGCTGAGGTGGGCAGACTATAGATATCAGGAGTTCAAAACCAACCTAGCCAACATAGTGAAATGCTGTCTTTACTAAAAATACAAAAATTAGCTGGGCGTGGTGGCACACGCCTGTAACCCCAGCTACTCAGGAGGCTGAGGCAGGAGAATCACTTGAACCCGAGAGGTAGAGGTTGCAGTGAGCCGAGATCGCGCCACTGCACTCCAGCCTGGGCAACAGAGCAAGCCTATCCCAAAAACAAACAAGAAAGGGAGAGATAGTGAAAACATAAGCAAGAAGTGGGGAGAGAATATAGTAAAGATAGAGGAAGTGGGATAGAGTACAGATAAAAGGATCAGTCTTGGAAACAAGAAAAAGTACTGTGAGTCAGTATGTAAGGAAAGATTAAATATAACAAAATTAAGGAAAAAGAGGGAAGTGAGATCCACACTTGATGGCCTTAAGCTCAATGAAATATTAATAGATGAGAGTGAAGAACATCAGAGGCACGGAGATTTAGAACATCACGCACAGTAGTATAATGGGGAGTCAACAAAGAATGAGTAAAAGTTGTGTCCAAGAACACTGATGACTCTCTGAGATTAGCTGGCCAGGATTAGTTATAGGCCTCTTATGGTGACTCAGCTGTCTACTGCAGCGCTTGGCAGCCTAAGACAAAGCCCCAAGAATGAGACCACTTAGTTTACCCAAGTCAATTTTTGAGACAGAGTTTCACTCTTGTTGCCCAGGCTGGAGTGCAATGGCTCAATCTTGGTTCCCTGCAACCTCTGCCTCCCGGGTTCAAGCGATTCTCCTCCCTCAGCCTCCAGAGTAGCTGGGATTACAGTTGCCCACCATCACGCCCAGCTAATTTTTGTATTTTTAGTAGAGATGGGGCTTCACCACATTGGCCGGGCTGGTCTCGAACTCCTGACCTCAGGTGATCCGCCCACCTTGGCCTCCCAAAGTGCTGGGATTACAGGTGTGAGCTACGGTGCCCGGCGGTAAGAGATTCTAAAATGCAGACAAAGTGGAGTTGAAATTGTTGACCATGCAGTACATGTTAAATCAACAAGCAAAACCAGGAAAGCAGAAGCAGCCGGAAGTCTTGGTAAGAATAAAGAACTGATTCAAGGGGAGGCAGAGAGTGGGAGATGTGAAAAGTGAGTGGTTGTGATGAGAAGGGTAATTCAGAGATCAAGATCTTGAAGGCATAATTCTTCCAAGTGATGCTGGGGTTTGAGGTACAACCTTACTCCTGGGTGGCTAAAATGGAGGAGGGAAGAAGAGGCTGTAAAACCAGTAGACTTGAGAAACTTGGAGAATTGAGAGGCCAGACTGTAAGACTCATCTGATCTGTGTGGCTTCTTTTTTTATTTTTATTTTTTTCCTCTGAGACGAAGTCTCGCTCTGTCACCCAGGCTGGAGTGCAGTGGTGTGATCTGGGCTCACTGCAAGATCCGCCTCCCGGGTTAATGCCATTCTCTCGCCTCAGCCTTCCGAGTAGCTGGGGCTACAGGCACCCACCACCACGCCCAGCTAATTTTGTTTTTGTATTTTTAGTAGAGACGGGGTTTCACCTTGTTAGCCAGGATGGTCTCGATCTCCTGACCTCGTGATCCACCCGCCTCAGCCTCCCAAAGTGCTGGGATTACAAGTGTGAGCCACTGCGCCCAGCCGATCTTTGTGGCTTTTAAAGTCACTAAAGATGGTGGTAGGAGGCCGGGTGCGGTGGGTCATGCCTGTAATCCCAGCACTTTGGGAGGCTGAGGCGGGTGGATTGCTTGAGCTCAGGAGTTCAAGACCAGCCTAGGCAACATAGCAAAACCCTATCTCTGGAAAAAAAAAAAAAATACAAAACTTAGCCGGGCACGGTGGTATGCGCCTGTAGTCCTAGCTACTCAGGAGGCTGACGTGGGAGGATCACTTGAGCCCAGGAGGTCGAGGCTGCAGTGAGCCAAGATCACGCCACTGCACTCCAGCCTGGGTGACAGAGCAATACCTTGTCTCAAAAAACAAACAAACAAGGATGATGGTAGGGATAAGATGTGGAGAAAGACTGAGCTAGTTATACAAGTTGTTAAGAGCATAATAAATATTTTGATGGATAAGATTGTGCTGTGAAGACAGGAAGAGCATGGCAAATGCAAAAGGCACGTGCTTTGGGAGATGAGGAGGAGTTTATCAGTGGTCTGGGGGAGAGAAAATAACGACCCCTCTCTTCTGCCTTCATTCCCCTAGTGATGGAGGTCGAAGAAAGAGCAACCTTCACCACAGAGAGGAGTAGCATCATTAGGGGAAAGCCAGGTTTCAAAATGCCCAGAGGAAAATGCTTTCAAACATAGAAGACAGGATTTGAAAATGTGAAGAGTTCCACCAAATATTGTGAAATGGATTGGTAGAAGGGTCCTTGTGGGGTAGGGAATTGAATCCAGGGAGGTTAAATCCCAGTGGGAATTCAGAAGACTAAGTCTGGAGAGTTTAGCTTCTAGGAGCAGGAGGTTGTTGCCTCTGGAATTCAGAATGGAAGATGCACTGCATCCATTGTGAGGGGAAACAAGTGCCTCAAAGGGGTCTTATAGGGATGCACAAGATAAGTTCCATGGCTTTAAACACCATCCTCATGCTGACCATGCCCAGGTTTCTTTCTCTAGCTTGGACCTTGCCCCTGAAATCCAGATGTGTATCTGCCCAGTGGCATCTCTACTTGCATGTCTAATAGACTTAGACTTACCACACCCAAAATAGAATTTTTTAGTTTTTCCATCCATCAGAATCCTGCTTCTCTCCCAGTATCTACATCTCCCACCCATCAATCCATCATCTAGTCCTGTTGTTTCTACCCCTGGAATGTATAATATATCCCAAACTTGTCTACTTCTCTCCATCTCCATGGCTGCCACTATTTTCTCTTCACCATCAATGCCACTGCCACCTGTCTCCTACCAGCCAGCCTAAACACAGGAGCCACAGTGATCTTTTAAAAACAAGTCCAGGCTGGGCGCGTTGGCTATGCCTATAATCCCAGCACTTTGGGAGGCCGAGGTGGGTGGATCACGAGGTCAGGAGTTCAAGACCAGCCTGCCCAACATGATGAAACCCTATCTCTACTAAAAATACCAAAATTAGCCAGGCACGGTGGCGCATGCCTGTAATCCCAGCTACTCGGGGGGCCGAGGCAAGAGAATCACTTGAACCTGGGAGGTGGAAGTTGCAGTGAGCCAAGATCATGCCGTAGCACTCCAACCTGGGCAACAGAGCGAGACGCCATCTCAAAAAAAAAAAAAAGTCCAGGCAAGGCTCAGTGGCTCATGCCTGTAATCCCAACACTTTGCGAGGCTAAGGTGCAAGGATTGCCTGAGGCCAAGAGTTGAAGGCTGCAGTGAGCTATGATGGTGCCATTGCACTCCAACCTGGGCAGAAAAGTGAGACTCCATCTCTTAGAAAAAAAAAACCAGGCCGGGTGCAGTGGCACATGTCTGTAATTCCAGCACTTCGGGAGGCTGAGGCAGGCGGATCACTTGAAGTCAGGAGTTCAAGACCAGCCTGGCCAACATGGTGTACTTTCTATACTAAAAGTACAAAAATTAGCCAGGCATGGTGACATGCACCTATAATCCCAGCTACTTGGGAGACTGACATAGGTGGATTGCTTAAACCTGGGAGGCAGAGGTTGCAGTGAGCCGAGATTGTGCCACTGCACTCCAGCCTGGGTGACAGAGCGATTCTGTCTTAAAAGAAAAAAAAAAAAAAAAAAGGCTGGGTGCGGTGTCTCACGCCTGTAATCCCAGCACTTTGGGAGGCCGACGCAAGTGGATCACCTGAGGTCAGGAGTTCGAGACCAGCCTGGCCAAGATGGTGTACTTTCTCTACTAAAAGTACAAAAATTAGCCAGGCATGGTGGCATGCACCTATAATCCCAGCTACTCAGGAGGCTAAGACAGGAGAATCGTTTGAACCCGGGCAGCAGAGGTTGCAGTGAGCTGAGATTACGCCATTGCACTCCAGCCTGGGCAACAGAGTGAGACTCCGTCTCCAAAAAAAAGAAAGAAAAAAAATCCAGGGCCAGTGTGGTGACTCATGCCTGTAATCCCAAAACTTTGGGAGGCTGGCCCAGCATGGTGGCTCACACCTGTAATCCCAAAACTTTGGGAGGCTGAGGCAGGCGGATCACCTGAGGTCAGGAGTTTGAGATCAGCCTGACTAACATGGTGAAACCCCATCTCTACTAAATACAAAAAATTAGCCGGGAATGGTGGCATGCACCTGTAATCCCAGCTACTTGGGAGGCTGAAGCAGGAGAATCGCTTGAACCCAGGAGGCAGAGGTTGCAGTGAGATGAGATCAGTCATTGCACTCCAGCCTGGGCAACGAGCGAAACCGCCTCTCAAACAAACAAAAAAAAACTTTGGGAGGCCAAGATGGGCAGATCACTTGAAACCAGGAGTTCGAGACCAGCCTGAGCAGCATAGACCCTGTCTCAACAAAAATTTTAAAATATTTTTTAAAATTAGCCAGGCACAGTGGCACACACCTGTAGTCCTAGATACTTGGGAAGCTGAGGTGGAAGGATGACTTGAGCCCATGGTTTTGAGGTTGCAGTGGGCTATGATGGTGCCACTGCACTCCAGCCTAGGCCACAGAGCAAGACACCATGTCAAAAGAAAAAAAAATCCAATCACCTCTGCTCACCTCCCTCTTTCTCTCTCTCTCTCTCTCTCCCTCCCCCTCTCTCCCCTGCAACACACACACACACACACACACACACACACACGCACGCATGCACGCACCACACACTCTGACGACCTTTAAAGGCTTCCTGTGGCTGGATGAAATCTAGAGGCTTTACCCTTCTTGCATGGCCCTGCATGACCTGGCCCCTGCCCTCCTCTCTGACCTCATCTCCCACCCGCCTCCCAGTCTCTCTCTCTGCTCCAGCCACACTGGCCTTCTGTTTGTCGTCAACACCCCCAGCTTGGTTCCGCCTTCCAGCCTTTGCAGTAGCTGCTCCCTTTACCTGAAATGCTTTGCTCCCAAACTTTTACCTGGTCACTATTTTTTGTCATTTGGGTCTCAGCTCCAGTGCCACCCAAACACTCAAAGAGGATTTTGCTGACTACTGTATTTAAAAGTAGCTCCCTGCCACTCTTACAACATCAGCCTGTCTTATTTTCTCATAGTACCAATTTCTTCTTCAGTTTCTTTCTTTTCCGTCTGGCCTCACTGGAATACAAGCTCCACAGGTGCTGGTACCTTCTCTGATCCCTTTGCCTCCATGTCCCTCCTGCCTTAGGACAATGCCCAGCATGTGTTAGGCACGCAGATACTCACTAAATGGAGGAATGGATGAATAATTCATAAAGCAGGATAAAGTTCAACTTTAGGCTTGTGGCTCAGATTGGACTTACATTTAGAGTCAGATTTAAGTTTAGTGTTAGGAGTGGTGGTAAACTGGTTTCAAGATTAGCCCTAGAAACAGGGTTGGGTTGGGGTAGAGGAGAAGTTTTATTTAGGGGGTTATTAATTGGGATGTGTTTAGATTTAAGGTTAGGGTTACAGTTGGGGTTGAGTTTGAGTTGTGATTTGGGTTGAGGTTAAATTTGGGTTAGGGTTGATGTTGGTATTAAATCCCAATTCAGGTTTTGAGGCTAAGTTCAAGTTTGAAGCTAATGTCATTTCAGTCTCATTTGGAGGCTTCAGAGATTTCACTAGTTTCTCCACAAAGACCACTATAAAGACTGTATTTCCCTGAGTCTGGGGCACAAGACTCCAGTCATCAGCTCTCCCACCCAGGGAAAGTCCCAAACCAACTGCTGGCCTGCCCAAGAAAGAAACCAAATTCATACAACCTCCGAAACTGAGATTGAAACCAAGATTGGCCCATCTCAAGGAGCATCCTTCGCATATCTCACATGCACGTGACACTGAGCCTCAGCCCAGTCTTACCCTTCCTTCCTCTGTGTCTCTCATGTCTCCCCATCACCCTTCTTGCCTTCCCTTTTTTGTCTTTCAATGTCCCATTCTTCCTCTTTAATTTAAATTTCTCTCTGTGTCTCACTGTTAATTGCAATACCTTTTTTTGTTTGCTTGTTTTGTTTTGTTTTGTTTTTTGGTTTGTTTGTTTGAAATGGAGTCTCACTTTGTTGCCCAGGCTGGAGGGCAGTGGCACGATCTCGGCTCACTGCAACCTCCGCCTCCTGGGTTCAAGCAGTTCTCCTGCCTCAGCTTCCCTAGTAGCTAGGATTACAGGCGCGTGCCACCATGCTCGGCTAATTTTTTGTATTTTTAGCAGTGATGGAGTTTCACCGTATTAGCCAGGATTGTCTCTATCTCCTGACCTTGTGATCTGCTCGCCTCAGCCTCCCAAAGTGCTGGGATGACAGGCATGTGCCACTGCTCCTGGCCTTGTAATAACATTTTATATTTTAATATAGCTCAGCTGGGGTCCCAGTCCATCAGCTCATACCATTAGAGAAGCAGAAAGAGACAACAGGAAGCAAAAAGGACCCTGAGAGAAAGGGCAACACAGAGAAAAAGAAA
Source organism: Homo sapiens (assembly GCF_000001405.40). Taxonomy (NCBI): domain Eukaryota; kingdom Metazoa; phylum Chordata; class Mammalia; order Primates; family Hominidae; genus Homo; species Homo sapiens. The sequence goes on from NT_167249.2 coordinate 2,868,725, forward strand.
GGAGCAGGGGCTAAAAGGGAAACCCACACTGACACAAGAGATAATAAGGTTAAAAGAATGAGAAGAAGGTTGGGCGCAGTGGCTCACGCCCATAATCCCAGCACTTTGGGAGGCCAAGGCTGGTGGGTCACCTGTGGTCAGGAATTCAAGACCAACCTGGCCAACATGGTGAGACCCCGTCTCTACTAAAAATACAAAAAAAAATTTGGCGGGCTTGGTGGCGTGTGCCTGTAATCCCAGCTACTCGGGAGGCTGAGGCAGGAGAATAGCTTGAACCTGGGAGGCAGAGGTTGCAGTGAGCCAAGATCGTGCCACTGCACTCCAGCCTGTGCGACAGTGAGAAACTGTCTCAAAAAAAAAAAAAAAGGAAAAGAAATTTTCTGACCTATCTCATCTGATAGTAGGTTATAAGACCCTCATTCCAGAAGAGGTTCTGCCCTATACCTGGGAGGAAGGAATGCTGTACAGAGAGACCAAGAAGAATATGGCCAGGCCTTGCTGGGATCCCCCCAGTCCCAGTCTGTGACCATTAGATGATACTCCTTTTGTTCAATTACATTTCTGCACAGCTGTTCATTCTTCATCAAATCTAAGCATAAAAATAGTTTTCCCCTGGGTCCTTGGGTCTTCATTTCTGAAGGCTCCCATGTCACCTAAAACTTTGATTAAATAAATGTATTATGCTTTTCTCTTGTTAATCTGTCTTTTATTATAGGAGTATTGGCCATAACCCTTATGATGGGTCAGGAAGGGATCACCCCTTTCTGCCCCTACAGAAATAATAGCTAAGACTAGTAAAGCATAAAAGGCAAAGGGGCAGGTCCTCAAGTAGAGAAGAACAGGAGAAATAGCTCATACACACCCAGAATGTTACTTACATGTCCCTCCATGTTACACCAAGACCCCTCAGGGACCTTGTGCCTGGGGAGAGAAGTGGTCTGCCCCATGCAACAGTGGGCTTTACCCCGGGTCACCACCAGCCCCAGCTCCAACCCCTCTAACACTCTCCAAGTAAAATCACATCAGTAGCAGTAATAATATTTGAGGTGACAAGTTGGTATTATCTCAAACTTAGGAAAAGTGAATAAAGTCATCTTTAGAAACTGCTTTTTTTAAACCTTGTAACTTGCAAGCTAAGTGAAAATGGGCTCATGTATGAGAATGTTCGTGTTAGACATTTTTTGTGTTAGACAAAAACTAGAAACAAACCAAATCCCCATCAACAGAATATATTAGAATATATTGATACAATAGAATATTACATCATAATTTTTTTTAAAAACATTACTGATACATACAACCACGTATATGAATCTCACAAACATAATGCTGACTGAAAGAAGTCAAACAGAAATGAGTACATTCTGTGTGATTTCATTTATATGATGCCCCAAACCAGGAGGAAATAATCTATGGTGATAAAAGTGAGAGAGTGGTTGGTTATCTTTGGAGGGTATCAGCAGGGAGGGGGCATGAGGGAACCTGCTGGGGACCTGAAAATACGTGGAGCTGGGTGGTGGCTACATACAGATGGAAAAATTCATCAGCTGTACACTTAAGAGGTGTCCACCTCATACCTAAGTTACATATCAATAAAAAGGAAAAAAATTTTGGAAACTTTTTTTTTTTTTTTTGAGACAGAGTCTTGCTCTGTCCCCCAGGCTGGAATACAGTGGTGCGATCTTGACTCACTGCAGCCTCCGCCTCCCAGGTTCAAATAATTCTCCAGCCTCAGCCTCCCGAGTAGCTGGGACTGCAGATGCGCACCAGCACGCCTGGCTAATTTTTGTATTTATTATAGAGATGGGGTTTCACCATGTTGGCCAGCTGGTCTCAAACTCCTGACCTCAAGTAATCCGCCCACCTCAGACTCCCAAAGTGCCAGGATTACAGGTGTGAGCCACTGCACCAGGCCTGGAACAATTTTAAAATAATGTATTGGCTCTGCAAATGCAGCTTCAGAACAAGTCCCTTAGCTGTCCCCACCCCACCCTAAGTCACCACCCTTAAGCCTCACCCATGTGGAATTCTGAAACTTCCTTTGTAGAAAACTTTGGAAGGTGTCTGCCACATTGATCCTGGAATGTGTGTTTATTTGGGGTTATATAAATCTGTTCTGTGGAAGCCACCTGAAGTCAGGAAGAGATGGAGGGCATCCTTCAGGAGTGAGATGAGACCTCATCATACTTGACTGTCCAGCATCATCTCTGAGTGAGGGGACCAAAAAATTTATCTTCCAAACTAGGACACTTTCAAGAGTGGAAGGGGGATCCATTAATATTTTCACCTGGACAAGAGGCAAACACCAGAATGTCCCCGATGAAGGGGATATATAATGGACCTTCTTGATGTGAAACCTGCCAGATGGGCTGGAAAGTCCGTATACTGGGACAAGTATGATTTGAGTTGTTTGGGACAAGGACAGGGGTACAAGAGAAGGAAATGGGCAAAGAGAGAAGCCTGTACTCAGCCAAGGGTGCAGAGATGTTATATATGATTGCTCTTCAGGGAACCGGGCCTCCAGCTCACACCCCAGCTGCTCAACCACCTCCTCTCTGAATTGACTGTCCCTTCTTTGGAACTCTAGGCCTGACCCCACTCCCTGGCCCTCCCAGCCCACGATTCCCCTGACCCGACTCCCTTTCCCAGAACTCAGTCGCCTGAACCCCCAGCCTGTGGTTCTCTCCTAGGCCTCAGCCTTTCCTGCCTTTGACTGAAACAGCAGTATCTTCTAAGCCCTGGGGGCTTCCCCGGGCCCCAGCCCCGACCTAGAACCCGCCCGCTGCCTGCCACGCTGCCACTGCCGCTTCCTCTATAAAGGGACCTGAGCGTCCGGGCCCAGGGGCTCCGCACAGCAGGTGAGGCTCTCCTGCCCCATCTCCTTGGGCTGCCCGTGCTTCGTGCTTTGGACTACCGCCCAGCAGTGTCCTGCCCTCTGCCTGGGCCTCGGTCCCTCCTGCACCTGCTGCCTGGATCCCCGGCCTGCCTGGGCCTGGGCCTTGGTGGGTTTGGTTTTGGTTTCCTTCTCTGTCTCTGACTCTCCATCTGTCAGTCTCATTGTCTCTGTCACACATTCTCTGTTTCTGCCATGATTCCTCTCTGTTCCCTTCCTGTCTCTCTCTGTCTCCCTCTGCTCACCTTGGGGTTTCTCTGACTGCATCTTGTCCCCTTCTCTGTCGATCTCTCTCTCGGGGGTCGGGGGGTGCTCTCTCCCAGGGCGGGAGGTCTGTCTTCCGCCGCGTGCCCCGCCCCGCTCACTGTCTCTCTCTCTCTCTCTCTTTCTCTGCAGGTTCTCCCCATGACACCACCTGAACGTCTCTTCCTCCCAAGGGTGTGTGGCACCACCCTACACCTCCTCCTTCTGGGGCTGCTGCTGGTTCTGCTGCCTGGGGCCCAGGTGAGGCAGCAGGAGAATGGGGGCTGCTGGGGTGGCTCAGCCAAACCTTGAGCCCTAGAGCCCCCCTCAACTCTGTTCTCCCCTAGGGGCTCCCTGGTGTTGGCCTCACACCTTCAGCTGCCCAGACTGCCCGTCAGCACCCCAAGATGCATCTTGCCCACAGCACCCTCAAACCTGCTGCTCACCTCATTGGTAAACATCCACCTGACCTCCCAGACATGTCCCCACCAGCTCTCCTCCTACCCCTGCCTCAGGAACCCAAGCATCCACCCCTCTCCCCCAACTTCCCCCACGCTAAAAAAAACAGAGGGAGCCCACTCCTATGCCTCCCCCTGCCATCCCCCAGGAACTCAGTTGTTCAGTGCCCACTTCCTCAGGGATTGAGACCTCTGATCCAGACCCCTGATCTCCCACCCCCATCCCCTATGGCTCTTCCTAGGAGACCCCAGCAAGCAGAACTCACTGCTCTGGAGAGCAAACACGGACCGTGCCTTCCTCCAGGATGGTTTCTCCTTGAGCAACAATTCTCTCCTGGTCCCCACCAGTGGCATCTACTTCGTCTACTCCCAGGTGGTCTTCTCTGGGAAAGCCTACTCTCCCAAGGCCACCTCCTCCCCACTCTACCTGGCCCATGAGGTCCAGCTCTTCTCCTCCCAGTACCCCTTCCATGTGCCTCTCCTCAGCTCCCAGAAGATGGTGTATCCAGGGCTGCAGGAACCCTGGCTGCACTCGATGTACCACGGGGCTGCGTTCCAGCTCACCCAGGGAGACCAGCTATCCACCCACACAGATGGCATCCCCCACCTAGTCCTCAGCCCTAGTACTGTCTTCTTTGGAGCCTTCGCTCTGTAGAACTTGGAAAAATCCAGAAAGAAAAAATAATTGATTTCAAGACCTTCTCCCCATTCTGCCTCCATTCTGACCATTTCAGGGGTCGTCACCACCTCTCCTTTGGCCATTCCAACAGCTCAAGTCTTCCCTGATCAAGTCACCGGAGCTTTCAAAGAAGGAATTCTAGGCATCCCAGGGGACCACACCTCCCTGAACCATCCCTGATGTCTGTCTGGCTGAGGATTTCAAGCCTGCCTAGGAATTCCCAGCCCAAAGCTGTTGGTCTGTCCCACCAGCTAGGTGGGGCCTAGATCCACACACAGAGGAAGAGCAGGCACATGGAGGAGCTTGGGGGATGACTAGAGGCAGGGAGGGGACTATTTATGAAGGCAAAAAAATTAAATTATTTATTTATGGAGGATGGAGAGAGGGGAATAATAGAAGAACATCCAAGGAGAAACAGAGACAGGCCCAAGAGATGAAGAGTGAGAGGGCATGCGCACAAGGCTGACCAAGAGAGAAAGAAGTAGGCATGAGGGATCACAGGGCCCCAGAAGGCAGGGAAAGGCTCTGAAAGCCAGCTGCCGACCAGAGCCCCACACGGAGGCATCTGCACCCTCGATGAAGCCCAATAAACCTCTTTTCTCTGAAATGCTGTCTGCTTGTGTGTGTGTGTCTGGGAGTGAGAACTTCCCAGTCTATCTAAGGAATGGAGGGAGGGACAGAGGGCTCAAAGGGAGCAAGAGCTGTGGGGAGAACAAAAGGATAAGGGCTCAGAGAGCTTCAGGGATATGTGATGGACTCACCAGGTGAGGCCGCCAGACTGCTGCAGGGGAAGCAAAGGAGAAGCTGAGAAGATGAAGGAAAAGTCAGGGTCTGGAGGGGCGGGGGTCAGGGAGCTCCTGGGAGATATGGCCACATGTAGCGGCTCTGAGGAATGGGTTACAGGAGACCTCTGGGGAGATGTGACCACAGCAATGGGTAGGAGAATGTCCAGGGCTATGGAAGTCGAGTATGGGGACCCCCCCTTAACGAAGACAGGGCCATGTAGAGGGCCCCAGGGAGTGAAAGAGCCTCCAGGACCTCCAGGTATGGAATACAGGGGACGTTTAAGAAGATATGGCCACACACTGGGGCCCTGAGAAGTGAGAGCTTCATGAAAAAAATCAGGGACCCCAGAGTTCCTTGGAAGCCAAGACTGAAACCAGCATTATGAGTCTCCGGGTCAGAATGAAAGAAGAAGGCCTGCCCCAGTGGGGTCTGTGAATTCCCGGGGGTGATTTCACTCCCCGGGGCTGTCCCAGGCTTGTCCCTGCTACCCCCACCCAGCCTTTCCTGAGGCCTCAAGCCTGCCACCAAGCCCCCAGCTCCTTCTCCCCGCAGGGACCCAAACACAGGCCTCAGGACTCAACACAGCTTTTCCCTCCAACCCCGTTTTCTCTCCCTCAAGGACTCAGCTTTCTGAAGCCCCTCCCAGTTCTAGTTCTATCTTTTTCCTGCATCCTGTCTGGAAGTTAGAAGGAAACAGACCACAGACCTGGTCCCCAAAAGAAATGGAGGCAATAGGTTTTGAGGGGCATGGGGACGGGGTTCAGCCTCCAGGGTCCTACACACAAATCAGTCAGTGGCCCAGAAGACCCCCCTCGGAATCGGAGCAGGGAGGATGGGGAGTGTGAGGGGTATCCTTGATGCTTGTGTGTCCCCAACTTTCCAAATCCCCGCCCCCGCGATGGAGAAGAAACCGAGACAGAAGGTGCAGGGCCCACTACCGCTTCCTCCAGATGAGCTCATGGGTTTCTCCACCAAGGAAGTTTTCCGCTGGTTGAATGATTCTTTCCCCGCCCTCCTCTCGCCCCAGGGACATATAAAGGCAGTTGTTGGCACACCCAGCCAGCAGACGCTCCCTCAGCAAGGACAGCAGAGGACCAGCTAAGAGGGAGAGAAGCAACTACAGACCCCCCCTGAAAACAACCCTCAGACGCCACATCCCCTGACAAGCTGCCAGGCAGGTTCTCTTCCTCTCACATACTGACCCACGGCTCCACCCTCTCTCCCCTGGAAAGGACACCATGAGCACTGAAAGCATGATCCGGGACGTGGAGCTGGCCGAGGAGGCGCTCCCCAAGAAGACAGGGGGGCCCCAGGGCTCCAGGCGGTGCTTGTTCCTCAGCCTCTTCTCCTTCCTGATCGTGGCAGGCGCCACCACGCTCTTCTGCCTGCTGCACTTTGGAGTGATCGGCCCCCAGAGGGAAGAGGTGAGTGCCTGGCCAGCCTTCATCCACTCTCCCACCCAAGGGGAAATGGAGACGCAAGAGAGGGAGAGAGATGGGATGGGTGAAAGATGTGCGCTGATAGGGAGGGATGGAGAGAAAAAAACGTGGAGAAAGACGGGGATGCAGAAAGAGATGTGGCAAGAGATGGGGAAGAGAGAGAGAGAAAGATGGAGAGACAGGATGTCTGGCACATGGAAGGTGCTCACTAAGTGTGTATGGAGTGAATGAATGAATGAATGAATGAACAAGCAGATATATAAATAAGATATGGAGACAGATGTGGGGTGTGAGAAGAGAGATGGGGGAAGAAACAAGTGATATGAATAAAGATGGTGAGACAGAAAGAGCGGGAAATATGACAGCTAAGGAGAGAGATGGGGGAGATAAGGAGAGAAGAAGATAGGGTGTCTGGCACACAGAAGACACTCAGGGAAAGAGCTGTTGAATGCCTGGAAGGTGAATACACAGATGAATGGAGAGAGAAAACCAGACACCTCAGGGCTAAGAGCGCAGGCCAGACAGGCAGCCAGCTGTTCCTCCTTTAAGGGTGACTCCCTCGATGTTAACCATTCTCCTTCTCCCCAACAGTTCCCCAGGGACCTCTCTCTAATCAGCCCTCTGGCCCAGGCAGTCAGTAAGTGTCTCCAAACCTCTTTCCTAATTCTGGGTTTGGGTTTGGGGGTAGGGTTAGTACCGGTATGGAAGCAGTGGGGGAAATTTAAAGTTTTGGTCTTGGGGGAGGATGGATGGAGGTGAAAGTAGGGGGGTATTTTCTAGGAAGTTTAAGGGTCTCAGCTTTTTCTTTTCTCTCTCCTCTTCAGGATCATCTTCTCGAACCCCGAGTGACAAGCCTGTAGCCCATGTTGTAGGTAAGAGCTCTGAGGATGTGTCTTGGAACTTGGAGGGCTAGGATTTGGGGATTGAAGCCCGGCTGATGGTAGGCAGAACTTGGAGACAATGTGAGAAGGACTCGCTGAGCTCAAGGGAAGGGTGGAGGAACAGCACAGGCCTTAGTGGGATACTCAGAACGTCATGGCCAGGTGGGATGTGGGATGACAGACAGAGAGGACAGGAACCGGATGTGGGGTGGGCAGAGCTCGAGGGCCAGGATGTGGAGAGTGAACCGACATGGCCACACTGACTCTCCTCTCCCTCTCTCCCTCCCTCCAGCAAACCCTCAAGCTGAGGGGCAGCTCCAGTGGCTGAACCGCCGGGCCAATGCCCTCCTGGCCAATGGCGTGGAGCTGAGAGATAACCAGCTGGTGGTGCCATCAGAGGGCCTGTACCTCATCTACTCCCAGGTCCTCTTCAAGGGCCAAGGCTGCCCCTCCACCCATGTGCTCCTCACCCACACCATCAGCCGCATCGCCGTCTCCTACCAGACCAAGGTCAACCTCCTCTCTGCCATCAAGAGCCCCTGCCAGAGGGAGACCCCAGAGGGGGCTGAGGCCAAGCCCTGGTATGAGCCCATCTATCTGGGAGGGGTCTTCCAGCTGGAGAAGGGTGACCGACTCAGCGCTGAGATCAATCGGCCCGACTATCTCGACTTTGCCGAGTCTGGGCAGGTCTACTTTGGGATCATTGCCCTGTGAGGAGGACGAACATCCAACCTTCCCAAACGCCTCCCCTGCCCCAATCCCTTTATTACCCCCTCCTTCAGACACCCTCAACCTCTTCTGGCTCAAAAAGAGAATTGGGGGCTTAGGGTCGGAACCCAAGCTTAGAACTTTAAGCAACAAGACCACCACTTCGAAACCTGGGATTCAGGAATGTGTGGCCTGCACAGTGAAGTGCTGGCAACCACTAAGAATTCAAACTGGGGCCTCCAGAACTCACTGGGGCCTACAGCTTTGATCCCTGACATCTGGAATCTGGAGACCAGGGAGCCTTTGGTTCTGGCCAGAATGCTGCAGGACTTGAGAAGACCTCACCTAGAAATTGACACAAGTGGACCTTAGGCCTTCCTCTCTCCAGATGTTTCCAGACTTCCTTGAGACACGGAGCCCAGCCCTCCCCATGGAGCCAGCTCCCTCTATTTATGTTTGCACTTGTGATTATTTATTATTTATTTATTATTTATTTATTTACAGATGAATGTATTTATTTGGGAGACCGGGGTATCCTGGGGGACCCAATGTAGGAGCTGCCTTGGCTCAGACATGTTTTCCGTGAAAACGGAGCTGAACAATAGGCTGTTCCCATGTAGCCCCCTGGCCTCTGTGCCTTCTTTTGATTATGTTTTTTAAAATATTTATCTGATTAAGTTGTCTAAACAATGCTGATTTGGTGACCAACTGTCACTCATTGCTGAGCCTCTGCTCCCCAGGGGAGTTGTGTCTGTAATCGCCCTACTATTCAGTGGCGAGAAATAAAGTTTGCTTAGAAAAGAAACATGGTCTCCTTCTTGGAATTAATTCTGCATCTGCCTCTTCTTGTGGGTGGGAAGAAGCTCCCTAAGTCCTCTCTCCACAGGCTTTAAGATCCCTCGGACCCAGTCCCATCCTTAGACTCCTAGGGCCCTGGAGACCCTACATAAACAAAGCCCAACAGAATATTCCCCATCCCCCAGGAAACAAGAGCCTGAACCTAATTACCTCTCCCTCAGGGCATGGGAATTTCCAACTCTGGGAATTCCAATCCTTGCTGGGAAAATCCTGCAGCTCAGGTGAGATTTCCGGCTGTTGCAGCTGGCCAGCAGTCCGGAGAGAGCTGGAGAGGAGCCGCATTCTCAGGTACCTGAATCACACAGCCAAGGGACTTCCAGAGATTCGGGTGTCTAGGCTTCAAATCACCCTGTCCTAACTCTGCAACCTGAACCAGCCACTTAACCTATCTATCCAATGGGGATAGGAATGTCCACCACACATAGGGCATGTGAGAGAAGGCCTGACCTCCATCAGAGGACCTCACTCAGCCCTTGGCACAGTGGGCACTTAGTGAATTCTGGCTTCCTTCAACCAGTTTCCAGCTGTTCTATCCCCTTCCATTCTCTCAGTGGGTGAAATCGAAGAGACTGAGGACAATAAAGAACAAGGAACCGAACTGCCGGACGTGGTGGCATGCACCTGTAATCCTACCACTTTGCAAGGCCAAGGTGAGAGGATCGCTTGAACCCAGGAGTTCCAGAGCAACCTGGGCAACATAGTGAGATCCTGTCTCTATTTTTTAAAAAAGAATGAAACATAGGAATAAGATGTGGGTGAAGGACTCACATGCCGGCTTGGTCCCACTGGTCTTTGTGGTGAAGGAGGGGAGAGGTGAGAGGTGGGTAATCCGGAAAGAGAAAAGCACCCCCTCCCTGGATGAAGGCTCTTCTGGAGAGAGTCAAAGACAAATAAGGGTGGGGCGCAGTGGCTCATGCCTGTTATCCCAACACTTTGGGAGGCTGAGGTGGGAGGACCACTTGAGCCCACTAGTTCAAGACCAGCCTGTGCAACATAGCAAGACCTTGTTTCTAGAAAAAAAATTAAAGATTAGTCAGGTGTAGTGGTGCATGCCTGTAATCCTAGCTCCTCAGGAGGCTGAGGCAGGAGGATCACTCAAGCCCAGGAGTTTGAGGTTACAGTAAGCTATGATCATGCCACTGTACCCCCGTCTGGGTGACAGAACGAGACCCTGTCTCAAAAAAATAATAATTCCAAAAACAAATATGGAGACGGAAATTGAGCCCCCCTAGACTGGGAGCCCCCACTGAGTTCGGAAATTAGGCTTTACCTCCAGCCCTGGGGTGCCAGGCAAGAGAAAACCATGTGGTAGGCTGAGGGGGTAGGGTGACCCATTGGGGTGACCTAGATAGGGCCTTGGGTCACCCTCTGCCTCCTCCAGCCTGTGGCTGAAAGTCAGCCATGAAGTAATGGGGGACACTGTTACTCATCCCAGAAGCACCCACACTTACTCACTTTTGGGAAGGGGGACCTAAAGTGTGAAAAAAAGGTGAGGATTTTCCGTCTCACCCTAAATGGGACACCCTAAGTGGGGCATCGGTTTTTCCTCCTCCCCAGAACTTCCTGGTGTTTTCAGGCACCACAGGCTCCTTCCTGCCATCCCCATCTCTCTCTAATATTCTCCCCTTCTTTCTCCTTCAGCCTCCTCCCTTCAGACCCCATGAGCCTTGAATTAAGCTCCTTGGAGGAGAAGAGTTGACTGTCGGGTAGGAGACAGAGAGGCCTTCAGGCAGCTCTAGGGGGAGAAGTGCGGGGCCCCTCCAGGCTTCATTCCTCTGTCATGATAGGGGCTTACTCTGCTGCTGGGCCTTTCTGAGTGGTGCTTGCTGGGCTCTGTAATGACCCCTCTCACTGTTGGGGGGTACCCAAGAGAAAAGAGTATGGTGCAGAGTCTGGTTGGGACCATGTGGCCCTGAAAATCAGGATGCCTAGAGAAGCTTCGGAGTTTGAGAAGTCCCCCTTCCTCCCACCCTCCAACTGGGCTAATGGTGGGGCCTGGCCATTCAGAGGCAGGGAGGGGGTGGGACAGGCAGACCATCATCCCTAGGAGCAAAGGCCATACACTGTGTTGTGATGAATTGTTTCAAGCAACCAGAAGAGTACTGAGAATATTTAACCCGCACCCGTGCACCCACCCTGAATTAAGACGTGTGTCGCAACTCAGCATCTTTATCGGCAGCACTGAAGCTTTCCATTCTTTATTTTCATCAGGTTCAAAATCAATTTCCAAACAGTCTCCTACATTTTTCCCACTGCCATGGGGTCCTGGGCGTCCGGGCCCCCAATATTCACGCACTCGCACCACGCACTCATATTCCCTCACCCCACCATCACGGCCCCAAAGAAGGTCTTCCCTCTCGCGAAGTCCACCATATCGGGGTGACTGATGTTGACGTACACCCTCTCGCCCCTCCGGAGCTGCACCAGGCCGCCGAACCCCACGCTCGTGTACCAGAGAGGCCCGTACCCTTGTCTCCTGGCCGGGTCCAGCACTGGAGTCACCGTCTCGGCGCCCTCGAGCAGCAGCTCGGGAGTGCCCGGCCCGTAGGCGCCCCCCGCCCGGTACAGAGAGCTGCGCAGCGTGACCGAGCGGCCCTGGGGGTCCCCGCCGCCAGGGGGCGCCCGGCCCCGGTAGCCGACGAGACAGTAGAGGTAATAGAGGCCGTCCTGCGGGAGCGCCAGCCCCTCGGCGTCCGAGAACTGCGTCCCGCTCGTCAGAAACGCCTGTTCCTTCGTCGTCTCCCAGCCTAGCCCCTGCCCCTTCAGCGGAGCGCCTGCGGAGACACGGGCCGACGCGCTCTTGGGAATGCGATCCTAAAGGCTTGGGACTTCTGGGGAAGTGGCGGCTTTTAGCCCCTGCGGGAGCCGAGCCGGGCCGGGGGAGGAGGGATGGTGCTGTTTCTGGGATGAGTGCGAGTTGGGGGCCGAGGGAACACGGATGTGGGGTGCAGAACGCTGTAGTGGGGACCTCCAGGCCGGCTTTTGCTTGCACCGGAGGGAAGAAGAAACTACACTGCGGGGACGAGCGTAAGAGTGGGCACGAGCGACAAAAGGTCGTGAAGCGGGTGGGAAACCGAGCACTGGAATCATGGAGCCGAAGGACTCTGGGCGAGCAGAACTGGAACCTTCGGATTATTTACACTCTTATTCAGGTCTTGGAGGTCCTTACCTATGAGGTGGGCAGCTGGGAGCCCGGGGCTGAGATCTGTTTCTGGCTCCTCCTCTGGCAGCTTCTGAAACCCTGGAAGGGGCAAAGAGTCCACGATTGGGGGCAGGGCAGCCACCCATGCAGGCTACCCTTGAGAGAACAGGGCGCAGGGATGGGGAGCCTGGATTCCTAGAGGAAGAGGTATCTGGGGACGCAGCAGGGAGCTGGGAGCCCCTGAGGGTCTGAAGCGGGGAAGGAGAGACAGTCTGCTCTTACCCAGTCCTTGCTGGGCCTGTGCCCCGGGGTCGGCCGTCTCCGTTACCTGGTTGGGTGGGGTCACAGTGCCCAGAGTTCAGATTCAGCTCATGTCACCCCTACCCCTCTGAAAGTGGACCCAAGCTGCAGGCCTGGGGTTTCTCCTACCAGCACCATCCCCAACACACACCTCCTTAGAAGGGAGAACAAGCAAGGCATAGGTACTTGGGCGGAGAAACAGATGTACCTCGGGAAGAGGAGAGGAGACACAAGGGGCTTATGTCGGGACACAAGCACAACATCACAGGAACATGGAAAGAGAGTCAGCAAAGAGACAAGACATCCCCACCAGGGACAGCCGAGCCAGCTGAGCCAGAGGGGGCAAAAGACCACAGGCACAACCAGAGGGAGCCAAGCATCCGCAAGATACAACTCTCCACCAGGGCCTGTTGCAGCCACTCACCAGTCCTCCCTGATCCTGGGGCACTAAGGCCAGCACAGCCAGGACAGTGATAGGCACCGCCAGCAACAAGGTCACCAGAGAAGTGGCTCCTGCCACAGCTAGCAGGAGGGAACCCCTCCCCTGGAGCCTCCCACCCCTGCCCTCCAGCCCCAGTGCCCCCATTGAGACTGAACCAGAGCCAGAGCAGGGGGCTTTCATACCTCAGGGACGGGCCCACCCCCTCCCTGTAGACCTGCACACCTGGCTGGGACTTTCCGCACACCCCTGCTCCCCTCACCCAGCTTCCTGTTTACCCAGAGCTGGGGTGGGGCAGCTGGATGCCTGGGTTCTCTGAACTGGGGAAGAAGTTGAGGTTAGGGAGACAGGCTCTCAGGGTGGAACCAAAGGGGTCTTTAGACATCTTCTGGCTCAGCAGAGAGAGAAACTGAGGCCCAGGGAGGGAAGGTAGCTTGCAGGAAGCCAGTCAGCAGAGCTGAAATGAGAACACAGATCTCCAGGTTTCCAATGTGGTTTGCATTCTTCTATACCCTCAAGGTAGGTGCTGGAGGAAGAGCTGATCCCGTCTCTGAGGTCAAGGGCCGGACTAGGACAAGGACTGGAATCTTGAGGGATGGATGTCTGGGTTCCCTGAGAAGAACTGATTCCCATACTGGGCTGACCTCCTCCCGTTCCCTTGCTCATCTCCAGCCCCCTGTGCTGAGTGAGAAAGGGAGAGGTAAGCCTTAGCCTCACCACTGACTACTGACTCACTAAGGAGGGATGGAAATGGAGCTTTACCTCCCTTGCTACAAAAAGTAAAGACAGATGGACGAGGCATACTCCCACCCTCAGAGAGCTTCCAAGTCTACAATGAGCCCTATCCATTAGTAGGTGCTTACTAAATGTTTATACATAAATGAATAAAAGGACAAATAAATGCAGGAATAACCAAAACAAAGCAGCAAGGACCACATGAATGGTAGATGTAGGCAGCATGAGTGGTTAAGAGTCAAGGGAGTAGCCGGGGTAGTGGCTTACACCTGTAATCCCAACACTTTGGGAGGCTGAGGCAGGTGGATCACTTGAGGTCAGGAGTTCGAGACCAGCCTGGCCAACATGGTGAAACCCTGTCTCTACTAAAGATACAAAAAGTTAGCCGGGCGTGGTGGCACGCGCCTGTAATTCCAGCTACACAGGAGGCTGAGGCAGGAGAATCACTTAAACCTGGGAGGCAGAGGTTGCAGTGAGCCAAGATTGCACCATTGCACTCCAGCCTGGGCAACAGGCTGAGACTCTCTCTCTCAAAAAAAAAAAAAAAAAAAAAAAAAAGAGTCAAGGGAAGAAAGACCAGGTCCAAGGAAGCTGGAAGTGGCTCCAATCATCTCCCCTTCTTGGTAACATCTCTATGTGTTTCCGTAATACTAATAATAATATAGCTGACCCACAAAATGCACTTAACATGTTTATGCCACTGATTTACACACTTTAATAATTTTTTTTTTTGAGACAGGGTCTCGCTATGTCACCCAGACTGGAATGCAATGGCAGGATCATGGCTCACTGCAGCCTTGACCTCCCAGGATCTATGGATTCACCTACCTCAGCCTCCTGAATAGCTGGGACTATAGGCACATGCCACCATGCCCAGCTAATTTTTGCATTTTTTGTAGAGATGGATTTTTGCCACATTGCCCAGGCTGGGCTCAAACTCCTGGACTCACGTGATCTGCCCGTGTTGGCCTCCTAAAGTGCTGGGATTACAAGCATGAGCCATCATGCCCAGCCAATAATTATAATCCTGACAAAAACCCTAAGAGGAAACTGAGGTACAGAGAGGTTAAGAAACTTATGGAGCTCACAGAGTCAGTGGCAGAACCAGAATTTGAACCCAGGCATCTGGCTCCAGAGCCTTGATAACAAGACAGTTTAAAAACTGAATACTGGGGCTGGGCGCAGTGGCTCTTGCCTATAATACCAGCACTTTGGGAGGCCAAGGAAGGTGGATCATCTGAGGTAAGGAGCTCGAGAGCAGCCTGATCAACATGGTGAAACCCCATCTCTACTAAAAATATAAAAATTAGCGGGGCGTGGTGGTAGGCACCTTTAATTCCAGCTACTTGGGAGGCTGAGGCAGGAGAATCACTTGAACCCAGGAGGCGGAAGTTGCAGTGAGCCGAAATCATGCCATTGCACTCCAGCCTGGGTGACAAGAACAAGACTCTGTCTTAAAAACAAAAACAAACAAACAAAACAGTATTAGGCCAGGCGAGATGGCTCACACCTATAATCCCAGCACTTTAGGAGACCAAGGCAGGTGGATCACTTGAGGTCAAGAGTTTGAGACCAGCCTGGCCAACATGGTGAAACCCCTTCTCCATTAAAAATACAAAAATTAGCTGGATATGGTGGCACAAACCTGTAGTCCCAGCTACTTGGGAGGCTGAGACAGGAGAATCGCTTGTACCCAGAAGGCAGAGGTTGCAGTGAGCCAAGATCACACCACTGGACTCCAGCCTGGGCAACAGAGCAAGACTCCGTCTCAAAAAAAAAAAAGAGTACTGACTTGAGATTTGTATGTAAAATTTGCCTTCCTCAGGCCAGAAAAGAAATGGGGAAATAAATACTGAACTCCAGTCAATGTTAAGCTTCTGAAGGGTTTAGATGTAAAATGTACTGATATTTGTAATTTTAAAAGATATTTAAAAGTGAGATGGATTGATAAATATGTGATAAAGCAAATAAAAAATGTTAATAGAGCCAGGTGCAGTGGCCCACTCCTGTAATTCCAGCACTTTGGAAGGCTAAGGTGGAAAGATTGCTTGAGACCAGGAGTTCAAAATCAGCCTGGGCAACATAGTAAGACCCCATTTCTACAAAGCCTCATGTGGTAGCTGGTGTCTGTAGTCCTAGCTACTCAGAAGGCTAAGGTGGGAGGACCTCTGAGCCCAGGAATTCAAGGCTGCAGTGAGCTATGATTTCACCACTGCACTTCAGGCTGAGTGACAGAGTGAGACCCCATCTCAAAAACAAAACAAAACAAAAAATGTTAATAGTAGCATCTAGGTGGTAAGAATATGTTCACTGTACAATTATTCTCATTTCACCCTATGTTTGCACTTTTTAATAATAAAATGTAAAAAAAACAAAACAAACAAACAAAAAACCCTGAATATTATTCAGCATGGGGAACATGGAGGATGGGGAGAAGGGTGGGGGAGGAAGTAGAAGGTTCTTGAATTTGGAAGGGGAAACGCAAATTAATATGGACCCACCCAGGCACCACATCTCCTCCTCACCCCTTGCCTTACAGGCGCTCCCCAGTCTTCACCCTCCTCAAGGAGTGGGTGTGCAATCCTCCAGCACCCATCTCCTTCTCCATCACAGTGCCACTAAGAAGCCTTCACCCAGGTCTCTCCAGAGAGCCTCAGGCCGCTGCCTTTACTTAGTTCTGTGTTCAATGCCAGAATGCTGCCTCCTACAGGAAGTCCACCTGTATTGCCCACACCTCCTTTCCTGTCACCAACTTGTCACCAACTTTCTGTCCTTGATCTATCCACAGGGCTCATGTAGATCTAGTATGGCTGCCTTTAACTCTCATGTTTGTTAATCAGACAGCCAAGCAGCCTGCTGCATAGAGCTGCAGAACACCAAGTGGGTCACCAGAACACCAAATATGCCAGAGCTCCCAGTCTGAACTGGAGCAGGGTACATGTGTCCACAGACATATGCCAAGATCAAGAGGTCTCAACAGATGCAGTGTAAGAGGTAATAGAGAAGAGTTAATCAAGGAAGACACCTGAAGGTGGTGGGTGTTTGCTGACTAGTGGCAGGATCAGTGAAATGACTGGAGCTGAGGCAGATTATGGCCCTAGCTACAGGCCCAGAAGTTTGAAAAGAAAGATGTTGTAACCCTAACCCTGGAGCCGAACTTCCTCTCCTAACAATGCTGGGGAGGAACCCAGGCTGGGGGAGAAGTTAAAGCCAGAGGAGGGGCAGGAATGTCTGAGGTGGCAACACTTCTCTTCAGCCAGACAGCACTGGCCAGTTTGGAGTCTGTCCATCCTGCAGGCCACAAGCTCTGGGTAAGCTGGGAATGGGCAGGGACCTTGGTGGAAGGATGGTCACACCCCAGAGTGGGGTGAAGCTAAGATGAGGGGAGGGAGAGTATGGGTTTGAGTTTCCCTGGGCCGTCGAGGAATCCTCTGAGTCTCTGCTCCCCAAAGAAATTAAAGACAATTCATTTCTGTGCCCACGGCCCTTATGGCCTCCACCTGCACTTCTGCTCCCCACCCCCCAGAATTCCTCTTAAACCCAGAAGGGTCCCAGTTTCCAGACCCTAGTCAGTATATCTGGCTCTGGGGTGAAGAGAACGGCCCCCTCTTCACCCTCAAACAGGAACCAGTGGTTGGAGGGGAGGAAGTGCCTGAGGGGAAGTTATGGGGCCCCAGATACTCCTCCATGCCCCACTTCAGCCCTAGCAGCATCTGCCTGTGGGAAGCAGCTCTCCACACCAGCCAAGGGGGCCCCCACACTCCCGCGCTGCTCTGCGGCTCAGGGAGCAGCCCACCTGCTGGGTGTGCTGATATCACCCTCCCTTCTTCCCCCCAGTGCCCACACCCACCCAGGCCCAGGCTCCTTCCCCTCCATCATCCCCTTACCAGCACCTAGAACCATCCAGGGCTGAAAAGTCCCCTCCAAACCACGTGGTCAGCCCAGGGCAGAGGAAAGGGCTGGGCTCTGGAGTTGGGCAGAGCTGGCCTTAAACCCCAGCTCCACCTTTCTGGGATGGGTGACCTAGTAAAGTCCAGGCTTGAATCTCGGGTCTTTACTTGGGCAACGGGCACCATGATACCCTATGTTCTGGGGATTAGCAGTGAGGAATGGAAAGTGCCCAGCTCAGGGTTGGCACATAAGGGAGGCTCCCCAGCCTGGGAACGATTATAACAGAGGGCCCCTCACTTCACAGATGAGGAACTTGAGGCAAGTCACCAGCCCCTGATCATTTCGCCTAAAAGAGCAAGGACTAGAGTTCCTGACCTCCAGGCCAGTCCCTGATCCCTGACCTAATGTTATCGCGGAATGATGGTAAGTAAAGTGTCTCTTGCATCTGCATAGAGAGAGTCCTGGGAGCTTAGGAAGTGATGGGGAACAGTGATGTATGCAGCTCATGACTAGGTGAACAGGCCTCTGGGGACAGCTGGTACAGGAGGGAAAGGGACCTCACGGGAGGCCCAGAAACCTGGTAAGAGGTGAGGTATTAAGGTCTGGGATGGAGAAGCTCTGAGGGTATATTTTTCTGCCTCTAAAACTGTTGGAGAGGGAATCTGAGAAAGCTGCAACCAACCAGGAGGCTGGGGTACGCTGGAGAAGGAATGGGCTTCCTAACCTTGAGCCCTCTTCCCTGAAGATATATGTATCTACGGGGGCCTGGGGCTGGGCGGGCTCCTGCTTCTGGCAGTGGTCCTTCTGTCCGCCTGCCTGTGTTGGCTGCATCGAAGAGGTGAGCGCTGCACTCCCTCCCTCCCCCTGCAGCAGTGCCCCCTGTGCCCCCACCCCCACACGCTTTCCCACTGCTTTCCCAGAACACTGCCTGGCCCTGGAGCCACTGGGAAGCCAACAGGGGAGTCCACGCCTGCTGGTGGGGGGAGCCCGGGAGGGCCCGGGAGAAGCACAAAGGGTGGGCTGTGTTGAGCTTCTTCTTTTCTTCCAGTAAAGAGGCTGGAGAGGAGCTGGGTGAGTCTGGGGACAGGGAAGGGGGAGGGCAAGAGAGATCCTGAGTGGGTGAGTGGGGAGAAGCATGGCTGAGCGCTGAGAGGAGGGTTGGGGACGGGAGACAAGGAGAGAGAAAGTAGGAGCATGAGAGAGGCAGAGAAAATCGAGGCAAAAGAGAAAGAGAAAATGAGACAGAAACCAAGAGAAAAAGTGAGACAGAGGATAGGAGAGACAGGGAGAAAATGAGAGTGAGAGAGACACAAAGAGAAGAGCAATGAAAGAGAGAGAGAGAGAGAGGCTCCAGAACCAGGCACAGTGGCTCACGTCTGTCATTCCAGCTATCGCAAGGCTGAGGCAGGAAGATAGCTTGAGCTCAGGGGTTGAAGACAATCCTGGACAACATAGTGGGACTCTGTCTCCAAAGAAAAAAGAGAGAGAGAGAGAGAGAGAGAGAGAGGGAGAGAGAGAGAGAGAGAGGGAGAGAAGTAAGAAAGGCTGGAGGTGGGAGCAGAACTCACAGGGAAGGATCTGACGGCATCGCCTCCCATCAGCACCTTCTGTCCTGGTCCCAGGCCCAGGGCTCCTCAGAGCAGGAACTCCACTATGCATCTCTGCAGAGGCTGCCAGTGCCCAGCAGTGAGGGACCTGACCTCAGGGGCAGAGACAAGAGAGGCACCAAGGAGGATCCAAGAGCTGACTATGCCTGCATTGCTGAGAACAAACCCACCTGAGCACCCCAGACACCTTCCTCAACCCAGGCGGGTGGACAGGGTCCCCCTGTGGTCCAGCCAGTAAAAACCATGGTCCCCCCACTTCTGTGTCTCAGTCCTCTCAGTCCATCTCGAGCCTCCGTTCAAATTGATCATCATCAAAACTTATGTGGCTTTTTGACCTTTGAATAGGGAATTTTTTAAATTTTTTAAAAATTAAAATAAAAAAAACACATGGCTCACCCTTCCACCCACTCTGGGGTCAAATAGTAATTTATTGGGTGAATGACAGTGTTCAGGGACCCAAGCTCCCCTAACAGCCAGAAGAGGGTATGTGTGGGCCTGGCAGGAAAGGGCAGTTGCCAAGGAGGAGTCATATCTGATCCTTCCCATTTCTCAGGACAATCAGGCTCAGCCTCCTGGGACTGGGGGAAGCAGATGTGCTGAGCTCCCACATGGTGGTGGGAGGGGCGCTGGGACCACAGCCGGCAGCTGCCTTCTTGGACCTTTCCAGGTCAGACCTGGTGGAAGGGAAAGTTCAGAGTTGGGGGAATCCGGAGAGAGTAGATTTGGCATCTGGAGAATGGAGAAGAAAACACTTGAGACTCATGAGGAGTTAGTGGTGGGGCAGATTTATTGGGGTCTTTTGAAGAGGACTAGGGACATCTGGGCTCTGGAATCACTCCTCGGGGCCCATCTGAGGAGTGGCAGTGTGTTCCCATGTGACAGTGGCCTGGTCAGAGAGAGGACAGGAGCTGCTCAGTGTTGCAGTCCCGAGGCTCTCCTCTTCCTGGTCTCTGTCCTCCCTCCTCCCACTCTCTTACTGCCCCTCCCATCCCGTCCACTATTGCCCCTGGCTCCATTACTCACATTTGCCCTGGTAATAGACGGTGCTGCCCACGGCCACAGAGAGAAAGCTGACAGCATAGAATCCAGCCCGAAGGAGGAGGACTGTACCAGCCCCTAGCTGAGGATGTTCTGCATGGGGCAATGGAGACGGGGGTTGGGGAAGAAGTGCACACAGGCTCAGGGAGGGAAGGGGCCTCAGAGGAGCATCCCTGCCTCCCAAGGACAT
Organism: Homo sapiens; assembly: GCF_000001405.40. Taxonomy (NCBI): domain Eukaryota; kingdom Metazoa; phylum Chordata; class Mammalia; order Primates; family Hominidae; genus Homo; species Homo sapiens. The sequence goes on from NT_167249.2 coordinate 2,889,012, forward strand.
TGCCTCTTGGGGCCTCCAGCCAGGAGGAGACACCACCTCCCAGCATCTCACCTTTCTCCACCACCAGCCGAGTCCCATTCCCTGTCCCGACACCAAGGCCCAGCACCTCCACTCTGCACACGTAGATGCTGGCGTCATGGCCTCGCACGTCCCGGATGTGCAGCTCAGCCTGGTGGTCATGGAGGAAACGGGAAGAAGCAAGTGGGGCCAGGCGGCCCCTGAACTCTGGGGTTCCATTCCTCACCTCCTTCCCTGGAACCACCTCATCTCGGAACCACGTGACGGAGCCAATGGCCAGTCTCCCTTGGCTGGCATTGAAGGAGCAGGGCAGGAAGGCAGAGGATCCTTCCAGGGTACGAATCTCAGGGGGCTGGGACACCCAGAGAGCACAGGATCCTGGGGGCAGAAGGAAGACCCAGAGAAACACCTCCCCAGTTATTCCAAAGAGAAAAGACAACAGAGCTTGGAGTAGAACATCCCAGCTTTCTCCAGGCATAGGGTGCATGGGAATAGATACTTTGGGGCCTCATTAAACCCTTCCCTCTTAACCAATCTGATTTCTTAACATTGCTTATTAAATCATTTTTCGGCTGGGTGCAGTGGCTCACGCCTGTAATCCCAGCACTTTGGGAGGCCGAGGTGGGCGGATCACCAGGTCAGGAGATCGAGACCATCCTGGCCAACATGGTGAAACCCCGTCTCTACTAAAAAAATACAAAAATTAGCCGGGCATGGTGGTGTGCACCTGTAATCCCAGCTACTCGGGAGGCTGAGGCAGGAGAATCGCTTGAACCCGGGAGGCAGAGGTTGCAGTGAGCCAAGATTGCGCCATTGCACTCCAGCCTGGGCGACAAAGCAAGACTCCATCTCAAAAAATAAAAAATAAAAATCATTTTTCAAATTCTTCCTATACCAACTCTCACTCTCACCCTCTGCCATCATTCTCCAGCCAGTTCAGTAGTAACTTGTCTAGCTGAAATGTAAACCATCATGGTGAAATTAAGCTCATTAATGAATGCAGCTGCCTAGTTAACTAATATCACTCATTATATTATCCAGGTATTATTTTAGTACAAATGGCATTGTACAGTAAGCCATCCTTCCTCTTTTTCTTTTTTCTTTTTTTGAGATGGGGTCTTGCTCTGTTGCCCAGGCTGGAATGCAGTGGTGCAATCTTGGCTCACTGCAAACTCCGTCCCCTGGGTTCAAGCGATCCTGGTGCCTCAGCCTCCCAAGTAGCTGGGACTACAGGCACCCACCACCACGACTGGCTAATTTTTGTATTTTCAGTCGAGACAGGGTTTCACCATCTGGTCTCAAACTCCTGACCTCAAGTGATCCACCCACCTCGGACCAGGCTGGTCTCAAACTCCTGATCTCAAGTGATCCACCTGCCTCGGCCTCCCAAAGTGCACCCAGCCACTCTTGGTTTTCGTTAAAGAAAGTAACTAATTAAATCTCCAGGTGAAGACGTGGCCTTAATTGGTTGAGATTCCTATTTAACCCGTCCATGTTGATGAATTAAACCAAATATTAAAATCCCTGATTAAATTATCTACTTAGGGAAATTTACAAGTCATTCTATTTCAGTGGTTCTCAAACTTGAGTGTGTATGGAAATTACCTGGAGCATCTGCTAGAACAGATTCCTGGGCCTACCCCCCGAGTTTTTGACTCAGTAGGTCTGGAGTGGGGCCTAAGAATTTGTTCTAGGTTCCCAGAAATCCACATTTTGAGAACTCCTGCATTTAGTTAATAATATGCCTGATAGTTAAGGTCTCTCAGTTCATTAAAAACAGTTTCGGCCGGGTGCAGTGGCTCACGCCTATAATCCCAACACTTTGGGAGGCCAAGGCGAGTGGATCACCTGAGGTCAGGAGTTTGAGACCAGCCTGGCCAACATGGTGAAACCTCGTCTCTACTAAAAATACACAAGTTAGCCAGCAGTAATGGCATGCACCTGTAATCCTAGCTACTTGGGAGGCTGAGACAGGAGAATCATTTTTACCCAGGAGGTGGAGGCTGCAGTGAGCTGAGATACCGCCACTGTACTCTAGACTGGACAACAGAATGAAACTGTCTCAAAAAAAAAGTTTCACCACCAGGCGGGCGCAGTGGCTCATGCCTATAATTCCAGTAATTTGGGAGACCGAGGCAGGCAGATCACTTGAGATCAGGAGTTTGAGACCAACCTGGCCAACATAGCAAAACCCCATCTCTACTAAAAATACAAAAATGGCTGGGCGCAGTGGCTCAGGCCTGTAATCCCCGCACTTTAGGAGGCCGAGGCAGGCAGATCACCTGAGGTCAGGAGTTCAAGACCAGCCCGGCCAACATGGTAAAACCCTGTCTCTACTAAAAATACAAAAATTAGTTGGGTGTGGTGGTGCGCGCTTGTAATCCCAGCTACCTAGGAGGCTGAGGCAGGAGAATTGCTTGAATCTAGGAGGCAGAGGTTGCAGTGAGCCAAGATCATGCCACTGCACTCCAGCCTAGGTGACAGAGCAAGACTCCGTCTCAAAAAAAAAAAAAATTAGCCAGGTGTGGTCGTGCGTGCGTGTAGTCCCAGCTACTCAGGAGGCTGAGGCAGGAGAATCACCTGAACATGGGAGGCAGAGGTTGCAGTGAGCCAAAATCGCACCACGGCACTCCAGCCAGGCGACAGAGCGAGACTCAGTCTCAAAAAAAAAAAAAAAAAAGTTTCACCAAGAAATTTATCATAGATTTACTTGGATCTCTCAAACTAAAAAGCCTCACAGTGGGTGACACAGAGAGACTGTGAATTGGGGGAGTCCACTGAGTGTCACCTTTGGAGCAGTCCCACTCCTCCCTCAGAGCCGTGTGTTTCAGCCCCCACCAAGCCCGTTCCCTATAGCATCTAGTCCAGCCTCCTGGATCTCCCTCCTCCCACCCACACTCCTTGGGGTCCTGAGCGCACGCCCTGTCACCTGGATGGACCATGATCAAGATGAGCAACAGCATCCAGGCCATGTCGGAAGATGTCCCAGTTGGCGAAGGGGATCTGAGCAGTGAGGTCTGGGTGGAGGAGGAAGGACTCACTACTTGTAGCCAGGCCTTTGGTCACCAGATGGGGATGGGGAGCTTCCTATGACACACGGGACTCACACATCACTTGCCAAGGACCACAACTGCCAGGGACCTCGAGCATCAAATGCTTGCCTCCCTGAGGAGAGAGGACAGATGCTGCTGGAGGAGATGTCAGGGTCTCTAGGAGGCCAAGGGGCCAGCTTGTGGCAGGCTAGCTAAGCGTGTGAGGGGGAGGGTGGGGCTTAGATGGCTGCTAACCCAAGGGTGAGTGGGCGGTTGGGCGGGTGAGACCAGGATGTGGGTTCCCCCACCTTCCGAGGTTCAAGGAGACCAGCTTTTACCCAGAACAAGCCTCCAGGAGCCCTCCTTGGCCCAGAAGCTAACCTACTTACCCTCCCTGCTGCTCACCAGTACCCAGACCCATCCCACCCATTCCCTTCCTGGAATCTGGCCTCACTGCACCCCAGGGCTACTCCAAGATTTCTATGAGGGATTAGGAGAAGCAAGCTGATTGGTGAAGCTATATTTAATTTGCATAGCAATCACCTTGTGTGTGTGTGTGTGTGTGTGTGTGTGTGTGTGTGTGTGTGTGTGTGTTTGGTTGGGTTTTTTTGTTTTTTGTTTTTTTTTTGAGCTGGAGTCTCACTCTGTCGCCCAGGCTGGAATGCAGTGGCACAATCTCGGCTCACTGCAACCTCTGCCTCCTGGGTTCAAGCAATTCTCTTGCCTCAGCCTCCCAAGTAGCTGGGATTACAGGCGCACATCACCAAGCCCAGCTAAATTTTGTATTTTTTGTAGAGACAGGGTTTTACCATGTTGGCCAGGCTGGTCTCCAACTCCTGATCTCAAGTGATCCACCAGCCTCGCCCTCCCAAAGTGCTGGGATTCCTGTTTTGGTTTTTTGAGACAGGGTCTGGCTCTGTCTCACCCAGGCTGGAGTTCAGTGGCGCCATCACGGCTCACTGCAGCCTCAACCTCCAGGGCTCAGTTGATCCTCCCACTTCAGTCTCCTGAGTAGCTGGGACTGCAGGCGCACACCACCACACCAGGCTAATTTTTGTATTTTTTGTAGAGATGGGGTCTCCCTGTGTTGCCCAGGCCGGTATCCAACTCCTGGGCTCAAACAATCCATCCACTTAGGCCTCCCAAAGTGCATGAGTCACCATGCCTGGCGAAATGTATTTCTTAAATAATGAGACTTGAAAGTCTAAATTACTCCTTAAACCATGGACTACAGGATGGATGTTATGTTAGCAGGCAGGAAAACAACATTCAGCTGGGCGTGGTGGCTCATGCCTGTAATCCCAGCACTTTGGGAGGCTGAGGTGGGAGGATCACCTGAGGTCAGGAGTCCGAGACCAGTCTGATCAACATAGAGAAACCCCGTCTCTACTAAAAATACAAAATTAGCCGGGTGTGGTGGGGCGCACCTGTAATCCCAGCTACTCGGGAGGCTGAGGCAGGAGAATCACTTGAACCCAGGAGGCGGAAGTTGCAGTGAGCTGATATCGCACCATTGCACTCCAGCCTGGGCAACAAGAGCGAAACTCCGTCTCAAAAAAAAAAAAAAAGAAAAAGAAAACAACATTCGTCTCTTTGGACATCTCCATCAGAGCTCTTGGATAACTATGTACATTGTCAATGAGCAGTAATCATTTTAAAGAAATCTTGTTTTTCGGAGCAGTAGACCTCAACAGTAGGCTTAAAATATTCAGTAAACCAGCGGGGCATAGTGGCTTACACTTGTAATCCCAGCACTTTGGGAGGCCAAGGTGAGAGGACGGCTTGAGGCCAGGGGTTTGAGACCAGCCTGGGCAACATGGCAAGACCCTGTCTCTACAAAAAAATTTAAACTTAGCTGGACATAGTGGCACACACCTATAGTACCAGCTACTCAGGAAGTTGAGGAAGGAGGATTCCTTGAGCCCAGGAGTTTCAAGGATGCAGTGAGCTATGATTTTGCCACTGCATTTCAGCCTGAGCAATGGAGGGAGACCTTGTCTCTAAATAAAATACAATTTAAATTGGGAATAGTAGTAAATGGAGTTTAAAAAAAAATAATTTTGGCTAGGTATGGTGGGTCACACCTGTAATCCCAGTACTTTGGGAAGCCCAGGAGGGCAGATCACTTGAGTTAAAGAGTTGGAGGCCAGGCCAGGCATGGTGGCTCATGCCTGTAATCCCAGCACTTTGGGAGGCTGAGGCGGGCGGATCACGAGTTCAGGAGATCGAGACCATCCTGGCTAACACGGTGAAACCCCATCTCTACTAAAAATACAAAAAATTAGCTGGGTGTGGTGGCATCTGCCTGTAGTCCCAGCTACTCAGGAGGCTGAGGCAGGAGAATCACTTGAACCTTGGAGGCAGAGGTTGCAGTTAGCCGAGATTGCGCCACTGCACTCCAGCCTGGGTGACAGAGCAAGACTTTGTCTCAAAAAAAAAAAAAAAAAAAAAAGAGTTGGAGATCAGCCTGGACAACCTGACGAAACCCTATCTCTACAAAAAATACAAAAATTAGCTGAGCATAGTGGCTCATGTCTGTGGTCCCAACTACTCAGGAGGCTGAGGTAGGAGGATCATTTGACTCTGGAAGGCAGAGGTTTCAATGAGTTGAGATCATGCTGCTGTACTACAGCCTGGGCAACATATTGAGACCGTGTCTCAAAAACAAACAAACAAACAAAAAAAAGAAAAATTTTAAAATCAGTAAACCACGTTGTAAACAGATGTACTATCATCTAGGCTTTTATTTATTTATTTATTTATTTATATATTTTTTTGAGATGGAGTCTTGCTCTGTCACCCAGGCTGGAGTGCAGTGGTGCAATTTTAGCTCACTGCAACCTCCGCCCTCTGGGTTCAAGTGATTCTCCTGCCTCAGCCTCCCTAGTATCTGGGATTACAGGTGACTGCCACCACACCCGGCTAATTTTTGTATTTTTAGTAGAGACAGGGTTTGACCATCTTGGCCAGGCTGGTCTTGAACTCCTGACCTCAGGTGATCCGCCCACCTCAGCTTCCCAAAGTGCTGGGATTATAGGCATGAGCCACCACATCCAGCCATCTAGGCTTTATTGTTCCATTTACACAGCGTGGCAGAGTAAATTTAGCTAATTCTTGCCAAGTGCAGTGGTATGTGCCTATGTCTCTGCTACTCAGAAGGCTGAGGTGGAAGGATCACTTGAGGACAGAAGTTCAAGACTGCAGTATGCTACGATTTTGCTTGTGAAAGCCATGGCTCCATGGCACTCCAGCCTGGGCAACAGAGCAAGACCTTCTCTCTCTCTCTCTCTTTTTGAGACAAGGTCTCACTCTGTTGCCTAGGCTAGAGTGCAGTGGCACAATCACGGCTCACTGCAGCTTCAACCTCATGGGCTCACACCATCTTCCCACCTCAGCCTCCTGAGTAGCTGCCACACACCACCATGCCTAGATAATTTTTGTATTTTTTGTAGAGACAGGGTCTTACCATGTTGTCCAGGCTGGTCTCAAACTCCTGGGCTCAAGTGATTTGCCCACTCGACCTCTCAAAGTACTGGGATTACAAGCATGAGCCACTGCGCTTGGCCAACCTCAGCTCTACAAAAAAGAAAAAAAAAGTCCAGGCACAGTGGCTGACTCCTGTCATCCCAGCACTTTGGGAGGCCAAGGAGGGCAGATCACTTGAGGTCGTTAGTTCAAGACCAACCTGACCAACATGGAGAAACCCCGTCTCTACTAAAAATACAAAATTAGTCGGGCGTGGTGGCGCATGCCGGTAATCCCAGCTACTCGGGAGGCGGAGGCAGGAGAATCACTGGGAGACGGAGGTAGTGGTGAACTGGGATCGTGCCATTGTACTCCAGCTTGGGCAACAAGAACAAAACTCTGCCTAAATAAATAAATAGATAAAATTAGCCAGGTGTGCTGGTGTGTTCCAGTAGTCTTAGCTACTTGGGAGGCTGAAGCAGGAGAATCACTTGAGCCCAGGATTTCGAGGCTGCAGTGAGCTATGATCTTGCCACTGCACTCCAGCCTGAATGACAGGGTGAGACCCTGTCTCAAAAAAAAAAAATCACTACTGACAGATCATAACAGATAAAATAATCAAGAAAAAGTTTGAAATATTGCAAGAATTACCAAAATGTGCCACTGAGACACAAAGTGAGCACAGGCTATTGGAAAAGTGGCACCTACAGACTTGCTCAACACAGGGTTGCCACAAACTTCAATATATAAAAAAATGCACATCTGTGGAACACAATAAAACAAGGTAATACCTCTACAGGGATTGGTACAAGAGTATGCCAGACACTCTTGTATGTGTATCACACAGCTACAGGAGATAATACAGCACATAGAAGTGAAGGATGACATGTAATATGCCATGTGTCCACCCCTTACCGCATGCCCCCTTCTGGCTCCTTTTACTATTACATTTTTTAGAGACAAGGGTCTCACTCTATCACTCAAGCAGGAATACAGTGGTGTGATCATTGCTCACTGCAGCCTCGATCTCCTGGACTCAAGCAATCCTCCTGCCTCAGCCTCCCAAGTAGCTTGGAATACTGGTATGTGCCATCACACCTGACTTTTTACTTTTATTTATTTTTGAAAGACAGCATCTTGCTATGTTGTCCAGGTCTCAAACTCCTGGTCTGGCTCCTTTTATTTATTTTATTTATTTATTTATTTTGAGATGGAGTCTTGTTCTTGTTGCCCAGGCTGGAGTGCAATGGCTCAATCTCAGCTCACTGCAACCTCTGCCTCCCGGGTTCAAGCGATTCTCCTGCCTCCGCCTCCCGAGTAGCTGGGAGTACAGACGTGCGCCACCACACCCAGCTAATTTTTGTATTTTTAGTAGAGACTGAGTTTCACCATGTTGGCCAGGCTGGTCTCAAACTCCTGACCTTGTGATCCGCCCGCCTTGGCCTCCCAAAGTGCTGGGATTACAGGCGTGAGCCACCGCGCCCAGCCTGGCTCATTTTATATGAATACATGTTGTTGTTGTTGCTGTTGTTGTTGTGAGACAGTCTCGTTCAGTCGCCCAGGCTGGAGTGCAGTGGCACAATCTTGGCTCATTGCAACCTCTGCTTCCCAGGCTCAAGCGATTCACGTGCCTCAGCCTCCCGAGTATCTGGGTTCACAGGCGTGTGCCACCACATTCGGCTAATTTTTGTGTTTTTAGTACTGACGGAGTTTTGCCATGTTGGCCAGGCTGGTCTTAAACACCTGGCCTTAAGTGATCCACCCGCCTTGGCCTCCCAAAGTGCTGGGATTACAGGTGTGAGCCACCACACCTGACCTAATATATGTTTTTTCCTTTGTATCTGTGTTTCTAGCTCTGTGTCACAGTACTTTTGTAGACTGTCCAGTTCCCACCCATCACTGAAGTAATTCAGAGCTTTCTTTTGGAGAAGCAGTCATCTCATGGTTAAGAATGCTGGTTTGGAATGAGTCTAGGTTCAAATGTCAGCTCCCCCGCAATCCCCACAATTATGTTATACAACCTTTTTTTTTTTGAGACAGGGTCTCACTCTGTCAACCATTCTGGAGTGCAGCGGTGTGATCATATGATCATAGCTCCCCGTGGCCTTGAACTTTGAACTCCTGAGCTCAAGTGACCCTCCCACGTCAGCCTCCAGAGTATTTGGGACTACAGACACACATCATCACGTTTGGCTCACTTATTTTTATTTTTTGTACAGACAGAGTCTCACCGTGTTGCCCAGGCTGATCTAAAACTCCTGGCCTAAAGCAATCCTCCCACTTCGGCCTCCCAAAGTGCTGGGATTACAGGTGTGAGCCACTGTGCCCAGTCTAATCTTGAACAAATTATTTTACCTCCCTAAGCTACCGGAACAACCACACATGCCACACAACCTGGGAAGGACCAACTCAGCCATTCTCCAGCAGCGAAGTGGCTGCCACCCCAGGGATATCTAACTAGAGGATGTGGGATGGAGGCGTCATGGCAAGGCAAGGCCTGCCCCCTGGTGGTCAGAGAGCATGGGAGGCCCGAGCTACCAATGGTGGCTTTTCTCAACTGGGCCTTGATTCCAGCTTCTGCCCGATCCCCTACCTTGCTTGCCTCCTTCTATCAACACCCCATTCACACCCCAAAGGATCAATATAGGAAAAATTGTCTCTACTATCTCAGCTGTAAGAAGCCCACGGTTTGGGGAGGGAGAAGAGGTCACCACCAGTGGGGACGTGGAATAAGTAACTGGCTGGGGATAAAACTCCACTCTTCCGGCCGGGAGCAGTGGCCCACGCCTGTAATCCCAGCACTTTGGGTGGCCGAGGTGGGCAGATCACCTGAGGTCGGGAGTTCGAGACCAGTCTGGCCAACATGGTGAATCCCCATCTCTACTAAAAATACAAAACTTAGCCAGACGTGGTGGTGCGTGCCTGTAATCCCAGCTACTTGGGTGGCTGAGGCACGAGAATCACTTGAATCCAGGAGGCGGAGGTTGCAGTGAGCCAACATTGTGCCACTGCACTCCAGCCTGGGCAACGAGCAAAACTCCGTCTCAAAAAAAAAAAAAAACAAACTCCACTCTTCCACAGTGTACACTCAATCACATGGTTCTACTCCACGTCCCAAGGCAATGTGGCTTAGAAGACAAATCAGCCTAGGTTGGAGTCCTGGTGCCACTACTGTAAACTGGGGGTACCACCTGTAAACTTCCAGACCCCATTGCCCTAGGTGTTCAATGTGTGGTTCTTCTCCAGTGCTTCCCCCGTCCTGTGCAAGGGTGGCAGTGCCATTGCTACACCTGGACTCAAGGGCATCCTGCTCTCCCAGCTCTTTTCTATATCTAAGACTTCTAAACATTTGTCATAGCTAAAAATGTTCCAGATTCCAAAGACAGTATGTGGGTTTTTTTTTTCAGTCCATCTAGAATAAATCCTGATATGTGTGTACATTCAAGGGACCCCTTTTAATAACTCTGAGAACCTCTAGGGAAGGCTAACCTGCAAGACAGGAACTGCTGCGCTAATCAGCACAGTGGGCACAAGAATGGAACTTTTTTTTTCTTTTTTTTTTCTTGAGACAGAGTCTTGTTCTGTTACCCAGGCTAGAGTGCAGTGGTGCGATCTCGGCTCACTGCAACCTCCGCCTCCCGGGTTCAAGAGATTCTCCTGCCTCAGCCTCCTGAGTAGCCAGGATTACAGGCACCCACTACCATGCCCAGCTAATTTTCATATTTTTAGTAGAGACGGGGTTTCACTATCTTGGCCAGGCTGGTCTTGAACTCCTGACCTCGTGATCCACCCACGTCGGCCTCCCAAAGTGCTGGGATTACAGGCGTGAGCCACTGCATCCATCCTGGCCAAGGATGGAACTTTTCTAAAGAAATTATTCCCAGGCACTCAAGAGGAAAGGCAACAAATAAAACAGTGTTGAAGTGGATGTGCACTGGTCTCTGTTTTTGTGTGTGTTTTTTTTGTTTTTTTTTTTTTGAGAGGGAGTCTCGCTCTGTCGCCTAGGCTGGAGTGCAGTGGTGTGATTTCCGCTCACTGCAACCTCTGCCTCCCGGGTTCAAGCGATTCTCCTGCCTCAGCCTCCCAAGTAGCTGGGACTACAGCGCCTGTCACCATGCCTGGCTAACTTTTTTGTATTTTTACTAGAGACAGGGTTTCACCATGTTGGCCAGGCTGGTTTTGAACTCCTGACCTCAAGTGATCCACCTGCTTCAGCCTCCCAAAGTGCTAGGATTACAGGCGTGAGCCGCCGCACCCAGTCTCTGGTCTGACTTCTTTAACAACAAGCTGTGGGCTGGCTGGATGTAGTTGAGGCCAATAAACTCCCAACTCAGACCATGAAAACAGGTGAAAACACAAAAGTCCACAATCCAGCACAGGTGATCTCATCTTTCCCCCACCCCCACCAGGGTTCCTCTACGTGCTGGCAGGGGTGAGATTGGGTGACTTCTCTGGCCAAGTCTTATCAATATTTTTCAACTAATGAATGGCTCCCAGGTGATGATACTTTCAGCTTCTGAGAACAGCTTCTCCTCTGAGGCTCATAGCATCTGACCTCACGACCTTCAATCTCTCCTTGGTGTCGTCCACTCGCCCTCACATTCATCAAGAGCCCATCCCTGACTCTGCAGCCTCTTCTCTATTTATTTTTTCTTTCTTTTTTCTTTTTTCTTTTTTTTTTTTTTGAGACAGAGTTTTGCTGTTGTTGCTGGAGTGCAATGGCGTGATCTTGGTTCACCGCAACCTCTGCCTCCCAGGTTCAAGCGATTCTCCTGCCCCAGCCTCCAGAGTAGCTGGGATTACAGGCACCTGCCACCATGCCAGGCTAATTTTTGTATTTTTAGTAGAGAAAAGGTTTCACCATGTTAGCCAGGCTGGTCTCGAACTCCAGACCTTGTGATCCGCCCACCTCGGCCTCCCAAAGTGCTGGGATTATAGGCGTGAGCCACCATGCCCAGCCCACTTCCTCTCTATTTCAACCTCTGCCAACTCCTTAATGGACTTAATGTCCATATGAATGACTTTTTTTTTTTTTTTTTTTGAGAGAGAGTCTTGCTCTGTCACCCAGGCTGGAGTGCAGTGGCGTGATCTCGGCTCCCTGCAAGCTCCACCTCCTGGGTTCACGCCATTCTCCTGCCTCAGCCTCCCTAGTAGCTGGGACTACAGGCACCAGCCACCATACCTGGCTAATTTTTTTGTATTTTTTAGTAGAGACAGGGTTTCACCATGTTAGCCAGGATGGTCTCCATCTCCTGACCTCGTGATCCACCTGCCTCGGCCTCCCAAAGTGCTGGGATTACAGGCGTGAGCCACCGTGCCCAGCCATAAATGACATTTTTAAACATTGATATATAATTTCATACAGTAAAATGCACAGATCTTAATGTACAGTTTGATGACCTTTGGCCAATATGTACACCCATGCAACCACACTGTAATAGAGATATAGATAATTCTCATTATCCTGGAAAATTCCTCCATGCCCCTTTTTGGTAAATCCCTTTCCCCTCCTAGATGCAACCATTTTACCATTTTTAACCTCTGTAGACTTTTTTCTTGGGACAGAGTCTTGCTCTGTTACCCAGGTTGGAATGCAGTAGTGCAATTATAGTTCACTGCTGCCTTGACCTCCTGGGCTCAAGCCATCCTCCCACCTCAGTCTCCTGAGTAGCTACAACTACAGGCATATGCCACCGCACCCAGCTAATTTTTTAACAGTTTTTTTGTAGGCTGGGTGCAGTGGTTTAGGCCTATAATCCTAGCACTTTGGGAGGCCGAGGCAGGGGGATCACAAGGTCAGGAGCTCAAGACCATGCTGGCTAACACAGTGAAACCCCGTCTCTACTAAAAATACAAAAAAAAAAAAAAAAATCAGCCGGGCGTGGTGGCACATGCCTATAGTCCCAGCTACTCGGGAGGCTGAGGCAGGAGAATTGCTTGAACCTGGGAGGCAGAGGTTGCAGTGAGCCGAGATCGCGTCATTGCACTCCAGCCCGGGTGACAGAGCAAGACTCTGTCTCAAAAAAAAAAAAAAAATTTTTTTTTGTAGAGACGAGGTCCTTCTATGTTGCCCAGACTGGATTCTAACTCCTGGGCTCAAGTGATCCTCCTGCCTTGACCTCTCTAAGTGTTGGGATTACAGGCCTGAGCCACTGCGCTCGGCCTCTATAGATTAGTCTGTTCTTGAACATCATATTAATGGAGTCATATAGTACATACTCTTGTATCTGGCTCCTTTCATTCTGCTTAATGTCTGTGAGATTCGCCCACGCTGTTGTATGTATCAGTGTTTCATTCCTTTTTTTTGCTGAGTGGTAATCCTTTATATGATGTAGCACAGCTTGTTGATCTATTCACCTGATGAAGTACAATTGGGTTGTTTCTATTTTTTGTTTTTCTTATTATGGCTCAATCTGCTATGAAACTTCTTGTACCCATCTCGCAAATGCCTTTTCAATACCCTAAGTGTGCAACTTCACAGTTATTTCACCTTGTCCACTCCAATCATCACCTTGACTCTCCATGACCTACATCTCAGATCCTGTCACCATGGAAGCTGTTTCACTTTGAAATCTCACCTCCTCTTTCCCAAGGACATAAAAGCCATCCAACCTGAGTCCCCCAGACTCCTGTACCCTAAACGTGTGCTTTTATACCACTGTCCTGTTGGAAAATTTTTGGGTTGTTTCTCCCACTTTTTTTTTTTTTTTTTTTTGAGACAGAATTTTGCTCTTGTTGCCCAGGCTGGAGTGCAATGGTGCGATCTCGGCTCACTGCAACCTCCGCCTCCTGCGTTCAAGTGATTCTTCTGCCTTAGCCTCCCAAGTAGCTGGGATTACAGGCATGTGCCACCACACCCAGCTAATTTTGTATTTTTGGTAGAGATGGGGTTTCACCATGTCGGTCAGGCTGGTCTCGAACTCCTGACCTCAAGTGATCCGCCTGCCTCGGCCTCCCAAAGTGCTGGGATTATAGGCATGAGCTAGCACCCCTGGCCCCACTTTCTTTTTAAAAAGTGTTATTATATATTTTTTATTATATATATTTTTGAGATGAGATCTCACTATGTTGCCCAGGCTAGTCTCAAAGTCCTGACTCCGGGCTTTAGGTGTTCCTCCGACCTCAGCCTTTCACGTAGCTGGGATTATAGGCATGCACCTGGCTTCCCACTTTCATTCAATAAATTTTGCGCATCTACCATGGCTTTCCTAGGCAATCCTGTCATAGCCACAGTTGTCACTACTGCTTATTCTCTGTCAAGTCCCCAATCTACATCTCCCCCTCAGGCCTCTTTCTTGAGACCTAAGTCCACACTATCTAACTGCTCTCTAGGCGGCTTACCCTGAATACTCCACAGGCATTTCAAAGTCATCAGTGTCCACTCAGACCAGGTCAGCCTCCTGTCATCCCTGTCCCAGTGAATGGAAACACAAAGCCCCAGTCACTTAAGGCAAACACCTGGGATTCATCCTACTCTGCCTTCTCCCTCAGTTCCCCCATCCAAAAGATCTCCAGGCCCTGTCCATTTTGCTTCTGAAAGATCGCAGGTGTCTTTCCCTTGCTCTTCATTCCACTGGTTGCTAAATCCCTCATCAACTCAAGGGGAAACGAGCAGAGTTGCTTCTCTGATGGGTAGTGTGGTTTCTGCACAGCATCCCCTTCATCCCACCACTGCTGGGCATTGAGGTTCATTCATCTATTCAGCATTGCTCTTCACGAGGGCCTTCCATGGGCCAGACACCCTATCTTCATCTCTCTTAATCGCTCTTTTCAGTATCTCTCTCCTTATCTCTCATATTTCCCACAGCTCTGTCCACAACTCTTTCTGTCTCACCATGTTATTCATATTACTTGTTTCTTCCCCCGTGTCCACTCAAACGCCACATCTCTACACACCCCTACCCCTCTGCCTCTCTGTCACATGCATACACACTTCTGCTTATTCACTCATTCAACAAATATTCAGCGAGCACCTTCCACGTGAGACATTCTATTTTTTTTCTTTTTTTTTTTTGCGCTCTCAGCTCACTGTAACCTCCACCTCCCAGGTTCAAATGATTCTCCTGCCCCAGCCTCCAGAGTAGCTGGGATTACAGGCACATGCCACCACCCCTGGCTAATTTTTGTATTTTTAGTAGAGATGGGGTTTTGCCATGTTGGCCAGGCTGGTCTTGAACTCCTGGCCTCAAGTGATCCACCTGCCTCAGCCTCCCAAAGTGCTGGGATTACAGGTGTGAGCTGCCGTGTCTGGTCTGCCTCTCCGTCTTTCTCTCTCTCTGTCTTCCTCCATCTCTCTTCGCATCGCTTTCTGCCTCCCCATCATTCTCCATGTTTTCCCTTCCCATCTCTCCCCATCTACATACCTTATTCTTTTACTCCATTTCTCTTCCTTCCCCATTTCTCTCTGGGTGAGAGAATGAAGGAAGGCTAGTGACTAGTCACCTCTTCCCTCTAGGGGCCAGAGTTCAGGCCTGCCTCAGCTCTGCCAGGCTGGTTGGCACTACTCTTGTTTGCCCTTGGAGTCTCTGCACAAGGATGCTTAAAAAAAAAAAGTTTAGGCCAGGCACAGTGGCTACCGCTTGTAATCCCAACACTTTGGGAGGCCGAGGAGGGTGGATCACGAGGTCAGGAGTTCGAGACCAGCCTGACCAATATGGTGAAACTCCGTCTCTACTAAAAATACAAAAAGTAGCCAGGCGTGGTAGCATGCACCTGTAATCCCAGCTACTCAAGAGAAGAATCGCTTGAACCCAGGAGGCAGAGGTTGCAGTGGGCCAAAATCACGCCACTGCACTCCAGTCTGGGCGACAGAGTGAGACTCCATCTCAAAAAAAAAAAAAAATTTGTGCAGCAGCGACAGAAAAGTAACCTACAATATTAGAGGAAGACTCACATCTCTCAGAAACTATATATTAAGCAGGCAAAAAAATTATTAAAGACAACGGGTGCGGTGGCTCATGCCTGTAATCGCAGCACTTTGGGAGGCTGAGGAGGGTGGATCACGAGGTCAGGAGGTCAAGGCTATCCTGGCTAACACGGTGAAGCCCCATCTCTACTGAAAATACAAAAAATTAGCCAGGCGTGGTGGCATGCATCTGTAGTCCCAGCTACTAGGGAGGCTGAGGCAGGAGAATCGCTTGAACCTGGGAGGTGGAGGTTGCACTGAGCTGACATCACTTCACTGCACTCCAGCCTGGGTGACAGAGCGAGACTCCATCCCAAAAACAAAACAAAACAAACAAAACACACGCACACACAAAGGTGGGAGTGTTATGTAAGAGAACTGCAGGGGATATTTCCACTCCCAGGCTCAAAGGGGTGAGGGGAGAGAGAGGTTACAGCAGTGGTTCTTAGTTATTTTGTGCCACAGATCCCTTTGGCATTCTAGTAAAGCATAAAATTTAAAAAATATACATACAAAAACAAATCGGCCAGGCGCAGTGGCTCACGCCTGTAATCCCAACACTTTGGGAGGCCGAGGCAGGTGGATCACCCGAGGTCAGGAGTTCGAGAGCAGCCTGGCCAACATGACAAAACCCTGTCTCTACTAAAAACAAAAAATTAGCTAGGCATGGTGGTCGGCGCCTGTAATCTTAACTACCTGGGAGGCTGAGGCAGGAGAATTGCTGGAACCGGGAGGCGGAGGTTGCAGTGAGCCGAGATCACGCCATTGCACTCCAGTCTGGGTGACAGAGCAAGACTCCGTCTCAAAAAAAAAAAATTGCATCGAAATCAAATTCCAGTTATCAAAATATTAATAAAAACTTTCAATAGAGTAAATTGAAACTGTCCCAAGATTGACAAGAATTGCATGCTGGGATCTGGGCAGAAATATAGTTATAATTAAGCATAAACCAGGCTGCACTTTGGCTCACTGCTCTATTCCTGCAAGTCTCCAGATCCTGACCATCTGCATCCCCGTTGTGCTAACATTAGGATGAGAATGTCTCTATATTATGATCCATTGTCTCTATATTTAAAAAAAAAAAAAAAAAGAAGCCAGGCACGGTGACTTACGCCTGTAATCCTGACACTTTGGGAGGCTGAGGAGGGCGGATCACGAGGTCAAGAAATCCAGACCATCCTGGCCAACATGGCAAAACCCTGTCTCTACTAAACATACAAAAAAATTAGCTGGGCTTGGTGGCGCGCATCTGTAGTCCCAGCTACTCAGGAGGCTGAGGCGGGAGAATCTCTTGAACCCATGAGGCAGAGGTTGCAGTGAGCCAAGATCATGCCACTGCACTCCAGCCTGGGTGACAAAGCAAGACTCTATCTAAAAAAAAAAAAAAAAAAAAAAAAAAAAAAAAGACCAGCACTGTGGCTCACGCCTGTAATCCCAGCACTTTGGGAGGCCAAGGTGGGCAGATCACGAGGTCAAGAGTTTGAGACCAGCCTGGGCAACATAGTGAAACCCCATCTCTACTAAAAATACAAAAAAATAATGGCATGAACCCAGGAAGTGGAGCTTGCAGTAAGCTGAGATCCTGTCACTGCACACCAGCCTGGGCGACAGAGCGAGACTCCGTCTCAAAAAAAAAAAAAAATTGCTGGACGTGGTGGCGGGTGCCTGCAATCCTAGCTACTTGGGAGGCTGAGGCAGGGGTATCACTTGAATCCGGAAGGTGGAGGTTGCAGTGAGCCGAGATCGCGCTACTGCACACCAGCCCGGGCGACAGTGTGAGACTCTGTCTCAAAAAAAAAAAAAAAAAGATAATTAGTCACCATGGCTGGGTGCAGTGGCTCATGTCTGTAATCCCAGCACTTTAGGAGGGCAAGGCAGGTGGATCACCTGAGGTCAGGAGTTCGAGATCAGCCAGAGCCAACATGATGAAACTCCTTCTCTCCTAAAAAATACAAAACTTAGCTGGGCGTGGTGGCGGGCGCCTGTAACCCCAGCTACTCCGGAGGCTGAGGCAGGAGAATTGCTTGAACCCAGGAGGAGGAGGTTGCAGTGAGCTGAGATCATGTCACTGCACTCCAGCCTGGGTGACAGAGAGAGACTCCATCTCAAAAAAAAAAAAAAAAAAAACCTAAGGCGTGGTGGCACATGCCTGTCGTCCCAGCTACTCAGGAGGCTAGGGTGGGAGGATCACTTGAGCCTGGAGGTTGAGGCTGCAGTGAGCCATGACCATGCCACTGCACTCCAGGCTGGGCAACAGAACAAGACGCTGACTCAAAAGGAAGAAAAGAAAGAGAAGAAAAGTCTATCTGGGTATGATGATGACTCCTAATATCTTCTCTCTGGTGGTTGATCTGGTCATTTGATAAGATCTCTAGGCAGGAGGTCTTAAGACAATTGCACTTCTTTTGCAAAGAAGTTTTTTCAGTCAGATAAGGAAATTCCAGAAAGTGTGGTAGGACAATTCTAAGGCAGCTTCTAAGGCCTCTCAGCATTTCAAAGCACCAGTCTTTGGGGTATCACTTTCTGAGCCCCAGCATCTTCTTGCATGTCTATTCTTTTCCCCTCATCTCTGTTTCCTTCTCAGAAGGCCCTGAGTTTCCTTCTCCACCCGCTTGTCTTCCTATATACCCTTCAGTATTCACTTTTTTTGGTGGGGGGGATGGAGTTTCGCTTATTGCCCAGGCTGGAGTGCAATGGCGTGATCTCGGCTCACTGCAATCTCCACCTCCCAGGTTCAAGCGATTCTCCTGCCTCAGCCACCCAAGTAGCTGGGATTACAGGCATGCGCCACCATGCCTGGCTAATTTTGTACATTTAGTAGAAACGGGGTTTCTCCATGTTTGTCGGGCTGATCTCAAACTCCTGACCTCAGGTGATCTGCCTGCCTCGGCCTCCCAAAGTGCTGGGATTACAGGAGTGAGCCACCGCGCCAGGCCTAGTCTTCATTTTTGTCCCACAGTCAGAGCAGCTGTCATTCTCTCTATCCCAGGCAGTTTTTCTGAGCATCTAAGCACTGTCTCACCCCAGTAGTCTGTCAAGCCATTCTCAATGGAAAGACCAGTCTGGGAGGCAGTCTCACTCAGAATAAAAGCCAGAGTCTTTACAAGGCCCTACCCAAGCTGACCTCCTCCTCACCTGGCTTCAGCAGCACAGGCCTCCCTGCTACTCCATGAACACTCCAGATATCCACACTGCTCTCACATCAGGGCCTTTGAACTTGCTGTTCCCTCCACCTGAAATGTTCTTCTCCCATTGTGATATTGTTATAATAAAAATATATATTTTTGGGCCCGGGTGTGGTGGCTCACACCTGTAATCCCAGCACTTTGGGAGGCCGAGGGGGGCAGATCACGAGGTCAGGAGATCAAGACCATCCTGGCTAACATGGTGAAACCTCGTCTCTACTAAAAATACAAAAAAAAATTAGCCGGGTGTGGGGGCAGGCACCTGTAGTCCCAGCTACTCGGGAGGCTGAGGCAGGAGAATGGCGTGAAACCAGGAGGCGGAGCTTGCAGTGAGCCGAGATCGCCACTGCACTCCAGCCTGGGCGACAGAGCGAGACTCCATCCCCCCACAAAAAAAAAGGCCAGGCGCGGTGGCTCATACCTGTAATCCCAACACTTTGGGAGGCCAAGGCGGTCAGATCACAAGGTCAGGAGATCGAGACCATCCTGGCTAACATGGTGAAACCCCGTCTCTACTAAAAACACAAAAAATTAGCCGGGCGTGGTGGCAGGCGCCTGTAGTCCCAGCTACTCAGGAGGCTGAGGCAGGAGAATGGCGTGAACCTGGGAGGTGGAGCTTGCAGTGAGCGGAGATCGCGCCACTGCACTCTAACCTGGGCAACAGAGCAAGACTCCATCTCGGGGAAAAAATAAATAAATATGTATATATATGGGTTGGGTGTGGTGGTTAACACATGTAATCCCAGCACTCTAGAAGGCTGAGACCAGAGGATCACTTGAGCCCAGGAGTTCAAGACCAGCCTGGGCAACCTGGCGAGACTTCATCTCTACAAAAAATTTTAAAATGAGCCAGGCATGGTGGTGCGGGTCCCAGCTGCTTGGGAGGCTGAGATGGAAGGATTGCTTGAGCCCAAGAAGTTGAGGCTGCAGTGAGCTATGATGGTGCCACTGCACTCCAACCTGGATGACAGAACAAGAAACTGTCTCAAAAAAAAAAAAATAAAAAAAAAAAAAAGGTCAGGCACGGTGGCTCAGGCCTGTAATCCCAGCACTTTGGGAGGCCAAGGTGGGAGGATTACTTGAGCCCAGGCAGTCAAGACCAGCCTGGGCAACACAAGGAGACCCTGTCTCTAAAAAAAATTTTAAAAATTAGCCAGGTGTGGTGGCACATGCCTGTAGTCCCAGTTACTCAGGAGGCTGACAAGGGAGGATCGCTTGAGCCTGGGAGGTCAAAGCTGCAGTAGCCATGTTTGTGCCACTGCACTCCAGCCTGGATAACAGAACGAGACCCTGTCTCCCTGTCTCAAAATATTAATGTGTGTGTGCGTGCGTGTGTGTGTGTGTGTGTGTGTGTGTTTTGGTCTCCATCCTGGCTCCTGGCCAGACCTCCTAAAGCCCTTGTAATTTCCTAAATGATAAAGTGAAGGGAGCTTTTGTTATTCATAACAAGCTCTTTTCAACCACAACTGAGTTTATGTTAGTAAGTTGACTTTTAGAAAGCCCCTAAGGTTGGGGTTTGTTGCCAAGGTAGGCAACTGTGTGATTAGAGAGTTAGAACTTTTAGCTCCAACCCTCTGACCTCCAACTAATGGCTATTGAATCAAGTATGCCTGCATAATGAAGCCTCCATAAAAAAAAACAAAAAAGATGAGGGTTGGAGAGCTGCCAGGTTGATGAACACATGGAGGTGCAGGGAGGTGCCCAGAGAGGACAAGAAAGCTCCAAATCCCCCTTCCCCGATACTTTGTCCGGAGCAACTCTTCCATCTGACTGTTCCTAAGTTTTATCCTTCATAATAAACTAGCTAACATAAGTAAAGTGTTTACCTGAGTTCTGCGTGCTATTCCAGCGAATTACTGAGCCAGAAGAGGGAGTCATAAAAACAGTTAGGAGGCCTGGACTTGTTTGTGATTGGTATCTGGAGTGGGGGCAGCCTTGTAGAACTGAGCCCTTCAACTTGGGGATTAGATAACTGGTAATTATGGGTAGAGTGTCAGAACTGAATTAAACTGCAGGACTCCCAGTTAATATCTACCAAGAACTGAAGAATTGATTGGTGTGGGAGAAGTCTCCACATGATTGGTGTAAGAAGTGGTGTTCTTGGCCAGGCGCAGTGGCTCACGCCTGTAATCCCAGCACTTTGGGAGGCCGAGGCGGGCCGATCATGAGGTCAGGAGATTGAGACCATCCTGGCTAACATGGTGAAACCCTGTCTCTACTAAAAATACAAAAAATTAGCCAGGCATGGTGGCGGGTGCCTGTAGTCCCAGCTACTCGGGAGGCTGAGGCAGGAGAATCACTTGAACCTGGGAGGTGGAGGTTGCAGTGAGCAGAGACTGCACCACTGCACTCCAGCCTGGCCAACAGAGCAAGACTCCATCTCAAAACAAAATAAAACAAACAAACAAAAAAAACTGAGATTCTTTGCAAAGAGCCTGGAATAACTTCCTTTTAGTCCTGGACTATAATGATGATGATAAATATACCTCGATGTAACCCTGAGATCCCAAGATTCACTAGCCCTTGAATAAAAAAAAGGAAAAAGAAAAAAACAGTATATTTTTTCGTTTTGCAAATCACAGTTCCCTTATTAAGATGGAATTGCTGCCAATTACAGAGAAGCTATTTGCCTAAGCCAAAAATCCATGAGGTTCACATGGACTTATAGTTACACAAATTAGAAACAAATGTTATATTTAAAACCATAGAGAAATGCCCAGGTGATGAAAGCTGGGGTGAAGGAGTCTGCACATTCATTTCAAACTGTTAAAGGATTTGTGGGCCATGCAATGGTCCCTTGCATTAGAGAAGTCAAAGAGCTTTGTGCAATCCTCTCCTGTCTGTGATCTGGAAGACACGTGCTCATCACAGAGCTCCAGCTGCTCCGAGACTTTACTCCTTTCTTCAGCTGCACGCACTGCTCTCTCGCTTTTGTTAGGAATTGACTAATTCCTCCTCTTCCTCTTCCTCCTCCTCCTTGCCATCTCTAGGCCCAGTCAGCATCTCTTGTTCATCCTCTGATCCCATGTCCAGCTATGGTTCTGGATTCAACACTAGCAGCAACAGTGGCGCTGACTCCACTTTAGGATCAATAAATATTTTTCTGGCTAGGCGCAGTGGCTCACATCTATAATCTCAGTACTTTGGGAGGCCAAGGTGGGTGGATCACAAGGTCAAGAGATCGAGACCATCTTGGCCAACATGGTGAAACCTCGTCTCCACTAAAATTACAAAAATTAGTTGAACATGGTGGTGCGCACCTGTAGTCCCAGCTACTTGGGAGGCTGAGGCAGGAGAGTCGCTTGAACCCAGGATGTGGAGGTTGAAGTGAGCCAAGATCGCGCCACTGCACTCCAGTCTAGCGACAGATGGAGACTCTGTCTCAAAAAAAAAAAAATAAGTATTTTTCTTTCTAGCCGTATATCCACCTTACATGGTCCCTCAACTCCCCAAGCCCACTCTGCCTGCCCCATCTCCTCCTTCCACATCCTCTCCTCAACCTAGCACTTGGTTGGCAATGCCTTCCTCGATCCTCTGCCAAAGACCCTCTAGCCAGTGCTTACCCTGTCTGTTCTCTCTCTTTACCCAAAGAAATACATAAAGTTTGACCAGAATGGAAACAGAGATATCAGTGAAAAAAGGTGATTTGGGGAAGTGTGCAGGCCTAGGAAGACAGAGGCTTGTTCCTTTGCTTGCTTAAAATCTTTGATCAAACGGCCAGGCGTGGTGGCTCACACCTGTAATCCCAGCACTTTGGGAGGGCGAGGTGGGCGAATCATGAGATCAGGAGTTCAAGACCAGCCTGGCCAACATAGTAAAACCCCGTCTCACTAAAAATACAAAAAATTAGCCAGCTGGGCGTGGTGGCAGGTGCCTGTAATCCCAGCTACTCTGGAGGCTGAGGCAGGAGAATCACTTGAACCCGGGAGGTGGAGGTTGCAGTGAGTGGAGATTGCACCACTGCACTCTAGCCTGAGTGACAGAGTGAGACTCCATCTCAAAAAAAAGAAAAGAAATCTTTGCTCAAATATCACTTTTTCAGAGAACGCTTCTCTAACCACTCTATTTATTTTATTATTTTATTGTATTTTTTGAGACAGGGTCTCACTCTGTTGCCCAGACTGGAGTGTAATGGCACGGTCATGGCTCACTGCAGCCTTGATCTCCTGGGCTCAAGCGATCCTCTCACTTCAGCCTCCCAAGTGGCTAGGACCACAGGCGTAAGCCACCGTGTCTGGCCAGACCACCATATTTAAAACTGGGGACAAGTCAGGCTCACACCTGTAATCCCAGCACTTTGGGAGGCCAAGGTGGGAGGATCACAAGGTTAGGAGTTCAAGACCAGCCTGGCCAACTTGGTGAAACCCCATCTCTACTAAAAATACAAAAATTAGCCGGGTATAGTGGTGATCGCCTGTAATCCCAGCTATTCGTTAGGCTGAGGCAGGAGAATCGCTTGAACCCGGGAGGCAGAGGTTGCAGTGAGCTGAGATTGTGCCACTGCACTCCAGCCTGGGCAACAGAGCGAGATTCTGTCTCAACAAAAAAAGCTGGGTGCAGTGGCTCACGCCTGTAATCCTAGCACTTTGGGAGTCCGAGGTGGGTAGATCACCTAAGGTCAGGAGTTCAAGACCAGCCTGGTCAACATGGTGAAACCCCGCCTCTACAAAAATACAAAAATTAGCTAGGTATGATGGCAGGTGGCTGTAATCCCAGCTACTCGGAAGGCTGAGGCAGGAGAATCGCTTGAACCCAGGAGGCGGAGGTTACAGTGAGCTGAGATCAAGCCATTGCACTCTAGCCTGGGCGACAGAGTGAGACTCCGTTTAAAAAAAAAACAAAAAACAAAAAACAAAAAACTGGGGACCATTGGCAATAATACTCCTATGTCCCCTCTTCCCTACTTTGTTTTCCTCCATAGGCACCTGGCGCCTTTTTTTTTTTTTTTTTTTTTTTTTTGAGACGGAGTCTCACTCTGTTGCCCAGGCTGGAGTGCAATGGCGCGATCTCAGCTCACTGCAACCTCTGCCTCCCGGGTTTAAGCGATTCGCCTGCGTCAGCCTCCTGAGCAGCTGGGATTACAGGCACGCACCACCAGGCCCTGCTAATTTTTGTATTTTTAGTAGAGATGGGGTTTCACCATGTTGGTCAGGCTGGTCTCCAACTCCTGACCTTGTGATCCGCCTGCCCCAGCCTCCCAAAGTGCTGTGATTACAGGCGTGAGCCACTGCGCCTGGCCACCTAGCACCTTTAATATACTTATTTATTTGTATTGTCTGCCTTCCCCAATTAGATCAACCATGAAGACAAGAGTTTTCATTTGTTGGGTTCTCTGGGCCTAGAGGCATGTCTGGCATATAGTAAGCATTCAGTAAATATCTGTTGAGTGAACGTATGAATAAAGAAGTGAGTTCCTCCCAGCAGGCACTGAGAACATTGGGAGTACAGGGTTGCAGCTCTCTCTGCAGCAGGAGAATGTAGCTGCAATAAAGGGAAGTCAAGAAGCCAGAGTCCAGCCAGGTGCAGTGGCTCATGCCTGTAATCCCAGCACTTTGGGAGGCTGAGGTGGGTGGATCACAAGGTCAAGAGATAGAGACCATCCTGGCCAACATGGCGAAACCCCATCTGTACTAAAAATACAAAAATTAGCTGGGCGTGGTGGTGGGCGCCTGTAGTCCCAGCTACTCAGGAGGCTGAGGTAGGAGAATTGCTTGAACCCAGGAGGCAGTGGTTGCAGTGAGCCGAGATTGCACCATTGCACTCCCGCCTGGGCGACAGAGCAAGACTCCGACTCAAAAAAAAAAAAAAAGCAGCAGCAGCAGCCAGAGGCCACTCCAGCATCTCCCCTACCTGGCTTGGGTCAGGGAGAGGGCAGTGAGAAGTGAAAACTCCCAGCTACAGAAAAGGAAATATGTTGCGGGGAAGGGAGAAGGAAAGGTGTCTTCATCAATGCCGGGGCAGGGTAGATGGAGCCCTGGGCAGGGAGTTTGGACCAGGAAATCTCAATGAGGGAAATGTGCTGTCCTCACCTCTCCAAGAAGCGACTGGCCAAACAGAGTGACAGAGGGGATAAAGGTTATGCCTAGGGAGGCATGTGTCAGAGGCTATCATCCACTCTGTTGAACCCACAGTGACCAGCACCACCATCACACAAACATGCCTGCATGTGTGCACGCACGCGCAGTGTGCAAACCTGATGTCAGCCTCACTCCCTGGCTCTTCTGTCCACAAACGCTGTTTCTTTAAGTACCACTTTCAGTTCCTCCAAAGAATCTACTTAAACTCTTAAATTCCTGATCTCTATAGATTTTACTAAAGATTTCAAAGGAGATAAGATGAGAGGGTTACGTTGCACATTCTAAAGCAAACAAATTAAAATGTTTTGTTAGACATTTCCATATTTTTAAGGGCCTCCTTGGAGCTGCCAGGCTGGGAGTGAGGTTTCTCTCCCTTTCTAAACCCTGTGCCCATCTTGTCACCCTCCTGGAGCTGCCAGCAGACTTCAGATTCTTCTCCGATCTACAGAGCAGAAAAATTCAGCCAGCCCTTCCTTGTCTTCCTATCCACAGCTGCCTGCCCAGACTCATGAAACCTGACAAAATGCAAGGTCTTATCATTACCTGAACCTTGGACCTGTTCAAAAATACTAGTTCCTGAGAATAAATATCCCTGGTGTCTTCCTGCCCTTCCTGCACACCTCCAGTGGCTTATCAAAATATTTGTTTCATGCGCACACTGGGCTCTCATTTAAGAGGAATTTGGGAGAATGTTATTTTCTAATCTGCATTTCACACCAGGCTCCCCCTCCTTCCTGGGGTGCTAGTGTCAGCAGAACCTGATGGGGAAGTGAGGTCTGGGAGGCAGAGGAGGAAGGAATGAGGGGAAAGGGGAAGTTTGGGAGGAAGGCTTCTGAGAAGACTGGTGGGAGAGAAGGAGAGCCTGCAGACAGAGGCCTCCAGCTTGGTCTGTCTCCCCACCTCTACCAGCATCTGCTGAGCTATGAGCCAAACCAGGGATTTACAGGGTAGGGAGGGTGGGATAGGCAGCGGCATTAGATCGGAGGAATGAGATGGACAGACCTGGGCTGTGGGCTAGGAGGGCAGTCAGCTGGCCTAGGGTAGCCCGGGCTGGTGTCAGGGTAAGGAGAGGAAGGGAGGGATGAGGGCTGATTAATTTTTTTCACCCCACAGGAGGAAAAGCTTTCGGACTGCTGAAGGCCCAGCAGGAAGAGAGGCTGGATGAGATCAACAAGGTAGAAGGAAGAACTAAGGGGGCAGAGCCAGGGGGATGGGGCGTGGATGGGGAGGGCCTACCCTGGCTCTTATTTTCCCCTCCATAGCAATTCCTAGACGATCCCAAATATAGCAGTGATGAGGATCTGCCCTCCAAACTGGAAGGCTTCAAAGGTGAGGGGGAAACTGTAGGCGGTGGAGACAGGGCTGGGGGTAGGAGGGTTAGGATTTCCACAAGAACAAGGCAGGAACAGCAGAGATAAAAAGTTTACTTTTGTGGTAGCAAAAGGGGAACCTGCCTTTATTGCCCTCCTGCCACACTGCGGTCCCTTTCCCGGGCCTGCCTCTCTCAGCATCCCCTCTAGCTCCTTACACCCTAGCGGGGCCCCTCAACTCCCCAACCCCACTTCCTCTGCCTGCCCCTCCTCCTCCTTCCACGTTGTCTCCTCCACCTAGCAGTTGGTTGGCAACCCCTTCCTCAGTCCCCTGCTGAAAACCCTCCAGTCAGCGCTTATCCCTTCTGCTCTCTCCCCTCACCCAGAGAAATACATGGAGTTTGACCTTAATGGAAATGGCGATATTGGTGAGAAACGGGTGATTTGCGGGGGCAGGGTGGTGTGCAGGCCTAAGAAGACAGAGGTCTCTCCTACATGCTCCATTCCTCATGATTTGGGAGGGGGCCCACCTACCACAGTGGGAGGAAGGAGAATGGGGATGCGGAAGTGGGAGAGGAGAGAGAGGGTCTCCCCACCTTCTCCCCATCCCCATCCTCTGCCCCCAGATATCATGTCCCTGAAACGAATGCTGGAGAAACTTGGAGTCCCCAAGACTCACCTAGAGCTAAAGAAATTAATTGGAGAGGTGTCCAGTGGCTCCGGGGAGACGTTCAGCTACCCTGACTTTCTCAGGATGATGCTGGGCAAGAGATCTGCCATCCTAAAAATGTGAGTGTCAATTTCCAACCTCCCCTGTACTTACCTGTTTTCTCCTCCCCCATCCCTACCCTTGTCCACAGGCTCAACATTTCTACACGTTGCCCATCATCCCTTCTTCCATCCTTAGAGGGACCCTTCCAAGGTCCCGACCCCATCCCTATCCATAGTCCTGGTCCCCAGAAACTCCAACCCCTGCCCTTCCTCTTCCCCCTTCCACCCTCACATCCCCATCCCCTTCTAGCCTTTCCTAGCACCCTATGATTTATTCCCTTGAGAGGAGTGTTCCCTGATCCCTGTGCCTCTTCCCATCTCAACCAGGATCCTGATGTATGAGGAAAAAGCGAGAGAAAAGGAAAAGCCAACAGGCCCCCCAGCCAAGAAAGCTATCTCTGAGTTGCCCTGATTTGAAGGGAAAAGGGATGATGGGATTGAAGGGGCTTCTAATGACCCAGATATGGAAACAGAAGACAAAATTGTAAGCCAGAGTCAACAAATTAAATAAATTACCCCCTCCTCCAGATCAAGTCAGCTTAGTTTTTATTTGGGTGATTTTTTTCCTGGGTTTGGGAAGGAGAGACAGGTCTTGAGGGAAAGGTGGCAAGGATTTGGCCATATGAACAATCCATCAACAACGCTATAGTGTGTCCACTACAGCAGATGGTTTCACGCACCAAGGGGGATTCCAGCTGTGTAAGACAGCCTTAACCTCAAAGAATGCAGGCAGGACAAAAACACATGTCCAAACAAGGTACTCAGGCCCATGACAGATTTCATGAAGAGCAAGGAATACCATGAACCAACATTCTCCACCACTATAAGCTTTGTCACTTTGACAAATCACTCAGCCTCTGTGAGGCTTTTTTCTAAAAATGGGGATAAAGTGACCTATGCTATTGTGCCTGACATATCATAAGCCCTCAATAATGTTTAAAACTTGAATGAGCCGGGGCCGATGGCTTATGCCTGTAATCCCAGCACTTTGGGAGGATGGGGTGGGCAGATCACCTGAGGTCAGGAGTTCGAGACCAGCCTGACGAACATGAAGAAACCCCGTCTCTACTAAAAATACAAAATTAGCCTGGTGTGGTGGCGCATGCCTGTAATCCCAGCTACTTGGGAAGCTGAGGCAGGAGAATCTCTTGAACCCAGGAGGTGGAGGTTGTGGTGATCCGAGATCGCATCATTGCACTCCAGCCTGGGCAACTAAAAAGCGAACTCCGTCTCAAAAAAAAAAAAACCGAACATACAAACAAACAAAAAACACTTGAATGGGTAGATGAATGAAAGAACTGGTGCTATTAAATAAAGCAAAGAATTTACAGCTGGGCGTGGTGGCTCACGCCTGTAATCCCAGCACTTCAGGAGGCCGAAGCGGGCAGATTACCTGAAATCAGGAGTTGGAGACCAGCCTGGCCAACATGGTGAAACCCCATCTCTACTAAAATACAAAAAATTAGCTGGGCATGGTGGCAGGTGCCTGTAATCCCAGCTACTCGGGAGACTGAGGCAGGAGAATCGCTTGAACCCGGGAGGTGGAGGTTGCGGTGAGCCGAGATCACGCCATGGCACTCCAGCCTGGGTGACAAGAGTGAGACTCTGTCTCAAAAAAAAAAAAAAAAAAAAAAAAAAGACTGGAAGGAGAAACTCATTGGAGACAATGACTATGGACATCCCTTTTAAGAATTTTGCTGCAAAGGGTAACAAAACGGTATGTGTGGTAGCCGGCCGGGGAGAAGGGAGAAGAGAATCATTTTGGAAGTTTGAAAACAGAAGTCATCTTAAATCTTACTGAGCCTCTGACTAAAATTCTCATCTGATTTCTGCAAACTTTTCTGCCTTCACTTTTCATAATGAATAAGCCGCCTCCTTTATTTAGCCATATCAGCCTAGGCACAGGCCCCCAAACTCATGCCTCCACTAATCTGTTCTCTGCACCTGAGATGTACACCTTCTTCTGAAACTTGGGTAAGTTCTAACTCGTTCTTCATATCTATTTATTTATATATTTTTGACAGATATCTACTCCGATCATTCTTCATATCATTTTTTTTTTTTTTTCCTGAGATGGAGTCTCATGTTGGCCAGGCTGGTCTCCAACTCCTGACCTCAGGTGACCCACCCACCTTGGCCTCTCAAAGTGCTGGGATTACAGGCGTGAGCCACTGCTCCCGCTCCCGGCCTTTTTTTCTTTTTCTTTTTTTTTTTTTTTTGAGACGTAGTCTCACTCTGTCGCTAGGCTGGAGTGCAGTGGCGTGATCTCAGCTCACTGCAACCTCCGTCTCCCAGGTTCAAGCGATTCTCCTGCCTCAGCCTCCCAAGTAGCTGAGACTACAGGCACGCGCCACCAGTCCAGCTAATTTTTGTATTTTTAGTAGAGACGGGGTTTTGCCATGTTGGCCAGGATGGTCTCCATTTCTTGACCTTGTGATCTGCCCGCCTCAGCCTCCCAAAGTGCCAGGACTACAGGCATAAGCCACCACGCCCGGCCTCATATCTCTTAATAAGAGTTTTTCTAGAAACATTTCTCAATCACCCCAGGCATAATCATATTTTATTTCTCTACTTCTTTCTTTTTTTTTTTTTTTTGAGATAGAGTTTCGCTCTTGTTGCCCAGGCTGGAGTGCAATGGCACGATCTTGCCTCACCACAACCTCCGCCTCCCAGGTTCAAGCGATTCTCCCGACTCAGCCTCCCGAGTAGCTGGGATCATAGGCATGCGCCACCACGCCTGGGTAATTGTATTTTTAGTAGAGACGGGGTTTCTCCATGTTGGTCAGGCTGGTCTCGAACTCGTGACCTCAGGTGACCCGCCCGCCTGAGCCTCCCAAAGTGCTGGGATTACAGGCGTGAGCCACCGCGCCCATCCTTCTTTTTTTTTTTTTTTTTTTTTTTTTGAGACGTAGTCTTGCTCTGTCACCCAGGCTGGAGTGCAACCTCCGCCTCCCTGGTTCAAGGAATTCTCTGCCTCAGCTTCCCGAGTAGTTGGGATTACAGGCGCCCGCCACCACGTAGGGCAAATTTTTGTATTTTTAGTAGAAATGGGGTTTCATCATGTTGGCCAGGCTGGTCTTGAACTCCTGATCTCGTGATCCACCTGCCTAGGCCTCCCAAAGTGCTGGGATTACAGGCGTGAGCCACCGCGCCAGGCCTTATTTCTCTACTTCTATAATATCCTGTGCATTATCTCCAGCGCCTTCAAATCATAGTCATTGAATGATCTGTTGAATGGGTATAACTCTGATGGGAGCAGAGAGTTCTAGAATCGGGTAGTAAGAGACAAAGGAGGGTAACAGTACTGCATTTCACAAAATGAAACCCATTGTTAAGAAATTACAAATTCCCAATAATTTCAAATATAAAAATTTATTCATGAAAATTATAGGTTATAAAATTAAATGTCCGTCTTAGTCGATGGTTGCCCATATTTTGATGAACGAGTCATTCCTAGCCTATCTTTGTTCAAATGATTTGCATACATTATGCAAATAGGTAGAACTGCCCGAAGAATGCCTACGCTGCGTGGTGCGGACGAAACGCTTCCCGGGGCCTTTGGATTGGTCTGTCTAGCCACCTCATTTGCATGACGTAATATAATAACTGGAAGGCCCCGCCCCTCTGGTGCATTTCCCCGCTCCAACCACCTCCTCAAACTCACGGCAAAGGGATGCGAGAGCTGGAACTCTTACCAGGCCTGCGGAAACTCAGCCCTCCGGCAGCTAATCCCGCCCGCCAGCCCCCGTCCTCTCTCTCTTTCTCCCTAGCTGAAGGCGCCACGGGCCGTGTGTCGTTGCCTTCCACTTTTGGCGTCCCAACGTCTCTCCGCTCCCATCTTTCTACTAACGTCCGACGCACGCTCCGCCTCTTTCTCCCACATTCGTCGTGTAAATTCTGCGTCCCAACCGCCCAGCCGACCTGCACCGCATTCCCGCCCCCTCAACACGGCTCAACGGCCGACGCTGGGGGCCCGCCTCCTTAGCCAATCGGGGTCCTAGTGCCCTTAAGTCCCTCCTCTTTATGCAAATAACCTCCGCATGCTCCGCGCGCCCGGCCCTTTTTTTTTTTTTTTTTAAACTAAAGACAGCCCTGGAAGTAGAGGGTTAGGGTAGAAAGTGCCCCGCCCTTTATGCAAATTAAGGGGCGTGTCTAGGCGCGGAGGGAGGTGGGAGGTGGGAGGGGGTGCTCCCGGGGGCGGCGGTTGCCCGGATGGGCCGTTAGTCGGGGCTCAGCCGCGGAGTGAGCGAGGGAGACGGGAGGAGCCGAACCCGGCGCCATCCGCCGCCATCCTCCCCCGCCCCACCGCCATCCCGTCCCGGGGAGCCCCTAGGCCCGGGTCCCGGATCCCCGCGCACCCGGCCAGGTGAGTCTGGGTGAACCGTGCGCTGACGCCCTTTTCCGGCGCGGGAGAGGTGGTGGCGGTGGCGGTGGCGGCGGCGGCGGCGGTGGTGGGCCGGGGGGAGGAGAAGCTGCCATTAGCCGCCGCCATTTTGTCCTCCTGCTGCCGGGCCTGCTTGCCCCTCCCCCTCCGGTACCTCTACTCCGGGACCCGCACCTCCGGCAGTTCATTCAGGATCCGTAGTCTGCCCCTAACCACCCACCGTCTTGGCTTCAGGGGGTGACCCCTGCGCCTGGGTCCGTAACTCCCTACCCTCCGCTGCGCTCCTGGCTTTTCACCCCCATTTGTGGGCCCCCTCCCCGGCTGCCGCCCCGTGGTGGGCCGCGCCCGACGGTTCTCTCGGAAGGGCGCTTTTCCTCCATATTGGACCCCCTCCTATCATCCAGCGCTGTGTTCCCCCCTCTGGACGCCCCTCTTCGTGTCGAGCCACTCCCACTCTAGAATCCTGCTTTTATCCCAGCATCTTTGCTTTCTATGTTGCTCAGTCGCCCTATGTCTGCTTTTTCATTTTTCCTGTTCCTCGTCTCCTTTCTCCCCCAACCCCGTTTTTCTTCTTGGGCCTCTGCCCCCTTACTTCGTTGTCTACATCGTTTTTTTTTTTGCCATTCCTGTTTCCATATATTTTCCACCTGCTTTCGTATTCATTATTTTCTGTTAGTTTTGGTCTATTCGCTACATGACTCTTGTATTCGTTTTCCCTTCATATATTTATCTTCACAGATTGGCCTCCTCAAACACCTACGAAGCAACATCCATCTTATCTCTAGCTTGTCATAAAGTTCTTTCTCCCCAATTTTAGCTTTCATTCTGGGCCTGTCTGGATTTCCCTGCTTTCTTCCCCACTATTTCTCATCTCTTTACACTGTTCCCGTCCATAAACGAATGCCTGGTCACTCTGGAATGGACTGAGAGACCTGTCGTCCGGCTTGCTTAGGGAGCTGGAGGTATCGAGTAAAGAAACACTGGTGATGGACATTTTTAATGAGGATAGGAAAACGAAGATGGCTCTGGCCTTGGCCCTCTGTTTTCTGGCCCATGGTTACAGGGTGCTAAGGTGGCTCCATAATGCTTTTTCTCAGTTCTTCATATGGTAAAACAGTATTTCATCTGGAGGCGATTTTTTCCAGGAGCCAATACAGGAGCAAGTTTAGGAAAAGATGGGATATTTCAAATACTTGAGGTTCCTATAGCCTGGGAGTATGTACAGCCCTAGTTGTTCTATGAGGATTTCTCTGGTACCAACCCCCATTCCGGCTGAGCAAGCTCATAAAATCCTTAAACTCCCAGCATACCTTCCTGCAAACCTTCCCAGATGGACACGAGGCTGCTGGGCTGGGAGCCTGGGGTACAGGGCCCTGGGGGCATGATTAGGGAGCTTGTGTCCAATAAACAGGGAATCTAAAGTGTTGTTTCTTCTTCTCTGATGGAATTGTATGCTTCTTTTTTAGTTTTCTCTTGCTTGAATTTGTCCTGTTGTAAGTCTCTGAAACGATTTTGGTGGAGAGAGAAGAGATTATTACTTGTAGGGAATTACTCTTTGTAGACAGGCACAAAGGGCAGAGTGTTTATACTAGGAGGATGCTGGATTTTTACTTAGATTTCCTTGACAAAGGTGTCTGGGGGAAAGGAGGGAACATGGCATTTGAGCTATGAGGGAGCTAAGTAGATCATGGTTGCTTAAGAAGAGTGGGCAGTTTACATAGACTGGAGGAAAAGACACCAGAGGGCCTCATATCTGAGTCCCTAATGATAATGCAATGGAGTTTTTAAGTTTCTGTTATGGTCTGTACAGGGGACAGAGACTGAGACACTTGCTGTCTGGCCCACAGGCTCTGGCACGTTTTGGGGGAGGTGCCTGCAGGACCCAACATACTCAATGAGCTTCCAGCGCAATGTCCGATCGCTCGGGGCCGACTGCCAAGGGAAAGGATGGAAAGAAGTATTCCTCGCTCAACCTGTTTGATACGTATAAGGGCAAGTCCTTAGAGATCCAGAAACCCGCTGGTGAGAGTCCTGCAAAGATGCTTCTGATGGTTGAAAGCTAGGCATGCATGGGGCATACGTTTTAGAGCTCTTTAAAGGGAAGTGGCTGTAGTAGAAATACCAAAAGACTAGAGGAGATTTCCCAACTTTACACTGGGTCCTTTAAAGGGGGTGTGGGCTCTGGGTGAACACCAGTTATCCTCCTACAAAGGCGTGTCTGTGGTTCCCTGTCTTTGGACACGTAAGAATTGGAGGAAAATAAATGTGGATTTGGGAAACTTTGAGGCCAGCTTGCTTCTTGCAGGCTCATGATCAACCAATCTCACATAAAAGTATTGAATGTTACATATCTCAGCCTTCTTGATAGGGATTTCATAGATTTTTTTTTTTTTTTTTTTTTTTTTTGAGACCAAGTTTAGCTCCTGTTGCCCAGGCTGGAGTGCAATGGTGTGATCTTGACTTACCACAACCTCCACCTCCTGGGTTTAAGCGATTATCCTGCCTCAGCCTCCTGAGTAGCTGGGATTACAGGCATGCGCCACCACACCCGGCTAATTTTGTATTTTTAGTAGAGACAGGGTTTCTCCATTTTGGTCAAGCTGGTCTTGAACTCCTGACCTCAGGTGATCCGCCTGCCTCGGCCTGCCAAAGTGCTGGGATTGCAAAGTGTGAGCCACCACAATCAGCGCGATTTCAGAGATTATTAAGGGCAGGGGAAGGAATCCCTTCTAAGAGAAGTTTGGAGGAAGTAGGTAATAAAATATTCAACATGTATAAATGTGTCCCAGGATAGGAGGCCATCAGATCTCCCACATGAGGCATTTTCGACCCTCTCTCCGTCTTGTTCTCCAGTTGCCCCTCGCCATGGCCTGCAGAGTCTCGGGAAAGTTGCCATTGCCCGGCGTATGCCACCTCCAGCCAACCTTCCAAGCCTGAAAGCCGAGAACAAAGGCAATGACCCCAATGTCTCACTAGTGCCAAAAGACGGAACAGGATGGGCAAGCAAACAGGAGCAGTCCGACCCCAAGAGGTAGACAGAGGCTTGGGGGACCTAGAGTGATGGGTATTTTAACTTGAACTTCAGGGAGCATTGGGGCTTGGTTTAGTCCAGCCACGTCTGAGCCAGAGACGAAGAGGTCCCTTTCTTACCTGTTGCAGGTTCCTTGTTAAATGACTAAGGAATGGTACTAAACTTTAGCTTTTTGTCTTGGAGAGAGAGCATGAAAAAATAGACAACAGCCTACAAAGGATGACAAAATTATTTTGTCCTTATATTTGTAAATGGTAGCAATGGGCATGATTTCAGTCCTGAGTCTCCACCAGTTGGAGAAGTCAGGGAGGCATCTCAGGTGTGAATAACCTTCCCATTCTGTCCCCTCAGTTCCGATGCCTCAACCGCTCAGCCGCCGGAATCGCAGCCACTGCCGGCTTCACAGACGCCTGCCTCCAACCAGCCGAAACGACCCCCAGCAGCCCCCGAGGTACCTGGAGAACTGGAGGGGTGGGGAGGAAGAATGGTTCATAGCTGCCCCACCCACATCATTTATCATCTTTCTGAACACTTCCCCAGAACACTCCTTTGGTTCCAAGCGGGGTAAAGTCCTGGGCACAAGCCAGCGTCACCCATGGAGCACATGGAGATGGTGAGTGCAGCACTTAATTGGGGAGCTGTGTCTGGGCACCATGGGATGCATGAACCCTGCACTGTATTTTCAGCCAAGTGACCTTGGTCCTCTTTGGCTAAATCAAGGACCACCCATATTCAGTTTCATGGAGGCACATGAGCAAGTTTAAGTCTCAGTCTTATATGATGGAGTGTAGTGGTGCCAGAACTGACCTCCTTGGGGAATAAGCAGTTATTCTGTAGCGGGGTGAGTTTGAAGGCGGGAAACCTGATGGTCTGGTACCTGTCAGAGCCTTCCACTTTTTTTTTTTTTGAGACGGAGTCTCATTCTGTCACCCAGGCTGGAGTGCAGTGGTGCAATCTCGGCTCACTGCAACCTCTGCCTCCTGGGTTCAAGCGATTTTCCTGCCTCAGCCTCCAGAGTAGCGGGACTACAGGCACACGCCAACACACCCAGCTAATTTTTTGTGTGTTTTTAGTAGAGATGGGGTTTCACATGTTGGCCAGGATGGTCTCGATCTCTTGACCTCGTGATCCGCCCGCCTCAGCCTCCCAGAGTGCTGGGATTACAGGCGTGAGCCACCGCGCCCAGCCAGAGTCTTCCACTTTTATAGCATGTCCTCAGGAAATGTCTTCTGTCTCCTGTTCTGCATCCCCATCCTAATAGGTGGAAGGGCATCAAGCCTACTGTCACGATTCTCTCGAGAGGAATTTCCGACCCTGCAGGCGGCTGGCGACCAGGACAAGGCTGCCAAGGAAAGGGAGTCTGCCGAACAGTCGTCTGGGCCCGGACCAAGCCTCCGCCCCCAAAGTGAGTGGCTGCCTTTTGGCCAAGACATTACCTATTGCATCTCAGAGCTAGGTGCTGGCTTATTCACCTTCCTCCCCATCACTTTCAGCTGTGTTCACTTGTCCTCCAATCATTGATACCTCTCTCTACCTTTTCCAAAATACAGATTCTACAACTTGGAGGGACGGAGGTGGGCGTGGCCCTGATGAGCTGGAGGGCCCGGACTCCAAACTTCATCATGGTCATGATCCCCGGGGTGGGCTACAGCCTTCAGGCCCACCCCAGTTCCCTCCCTACCGCGGAATGATGCCGCCTTTCGTGAGTCTTGGTGTCTTGTCTTGGAACGATTACACTGGAAGCTGGAGAGCTAGGAATCAGGACTTAGTCTTTGACCTATGAGATAGAAGGGAGGGTGGGAGGATGATTGATAGCAGGCTTAAGGAGCTAGAAGGGTATATGACTGTCCCTCTGAGCAGCTACTGTTGGACCCTTTTACAGATGTATCCCCCATATCTCCCGTTCCCTCCGCCCTATGGACCCCAGGGGCCTTACCGATACCCCACTCCTGATGGGCCCAGGTGAGCAATCCAGGTCTGGGTTTGTGGCTGGGGGCAGGGGAAGCTTATTGGGGGAGGAGATGGTTTTCTAGCCAGGAGGCTCAGTCTAGGATCAGTCTCGCATGTGGTTATACAACATGCCATATTTCATTTTCTTTTTTGTGTACAGCCGTTTTCCCCGTGTGGCGGGCCCCCGAGGCTCAGGGCCACCAATGCGCTTAGTAGAGCCTGTGGGTCGTCCCTCTATTCTCAAAGAGGATAATCTCAAAGAGTTTGATCAGTTGGATCAGGAGAATGATGATGGTTGGGCAGGTAAGTGGATATTAAGGGTCAAGAATTTGGATCTTGAAAGGCAAAACCTAATGAGGAAAAAAAAATACAGGGTTATGTGGGTGAAAGGCAGACATTGAAGTGTAGGAAGACCAGGCCCAATGGCTCACATCTGTAATCCCAGTGCTTTGGGAGTGTTAGGTGAGAGGATCGCTTGAAGCCAGGAGTTCAAGACCAGCCTGGGCAACACAGCAAGACCCCCCACCTCTACAAAAAAAAAAAAATTTTTTAGTTGGGTGTGGACTGTGCATCTGTGGTCCCAGCTACTCTGGAGGTTGTGGTGGGAGGATCAGTTGAGCCCAGGAGTTGGAGGTCACAGTGAGCTATGATCGTGCCACTGAACTCCATCCTGGGCAACAGAGCGAGACTTTTAAAAGGAAAAAAAAAAAAGAGTAGGGGAGGATGGATGGGGAATACCAAGTCCTTGCAAAGTGGTGAGAGGAGTAAGAATGACAAGACTTCATTGGTGGATCTAGACTTCGGAGGGAAGGATATTGGCATTGGTAGTCCATCTTGTTACATAGTTCCAGACTACCTCCCAAGATTGGAGGGCAGAATGCTTGGGTTACTAATACTCATATTTCCCCTCAGGGGCCCATGAAGAGGTTGACTACACTGAAAAGCTCAAGTTCAGCGATGAGGAAGATGGGCGAGACTCTGATGAGGAGGGAGCTGAGGGCCAGTGAGTTAGGGCCATCAGGGGAGAAGAGGAGGGGGTCTTGGTTTGTATTTTGGTAATATACTCTTAGAGGAGTATATTAGTTGCAGCTGATTTTAATTTCACTGTTGATCTGCTCACAGCAGGGATTCCCAATCAGCTTCTGGTGAGGAACGGCCCCCTGAAGCAGATGGCAAAAAGGGCAACTCCCCCAACAGCGAACCGCCCACTCCTAAGACGGCCTGGGCAGAAACCTCTCGGCCTCCAGAGACAGAGCCGGGACCTCCTGCCCCAAAGCCTCCCCTACCCCCACCTCACCGGGGCCCCGCCGGGAACTGGGGCCCCCCTGGGGACTACCCAGTGAGTGTCTCCAATAAGGGATTGAGAGGGTCAGCTGTGGGAAATTGGTGTCAGCTGAGTAATTGAAGCGGTTGTGATATAGAGGAAGGGGGGTGCTAAAAATGGGCTGTGTGAAGTGCCAGGCTGCAGAACATCCTGGGAAGCTTTTAAATATCTTTGGTAATAGGGGAGTCTGGGTAAGAAGTGAGAAACTGGGATGCTAATGAGGAAAGAAGAAAAAGGAGCCCTGGGTGTTTGGGTTTCGGAAGGAGAGAGGGAACAGAAAAATAAAAAGACTAGGGTGGCTAGATAGCTGGATCTGTTAGTATGCATCAGTAGTCCAAGCTACTCAGCAGGCTGAAGCAGAAGGATCACTTGAGCCCAAGTTCAAGACCAGCCTGGGCAACATAGCAAGACGTGGTCTCAAAGAAGACCAGGATAATGAGTTTGTCACCACCCAGAGAGATCAACCCCAAAGCCTGGGTCGTTGCATCCTGCAAGTAGCGACAGTTGATTTGTTGTAAAAGAGATGATAGAAAGCATAGTAACTGATTCCCCTGGCCCTGCTGGGTCTTGCCAATTGACAGGATCGTGGGGGTCCTCCCTGCAAGCCCCCAGCACCTGAAGATGAGGATGAGGCATGGCGGCAGCGACGAAAGCAGTCGTCATCTGAGATTTCCCTGGCAGTGGAGCGGGCCCGGCGACGGCGAGAAGAAGAGGAGCGGCGCATGCAAGAAGAGCGCCGGGCAGCCTGTGCTGAGAAGCTCAAGCGACTCGATGAAAAGTTTGGGGCACCTGACAAGCGGCTCAAAGCAGAGCCTGCTGCCCCACCTGCTGCCCCTTCTACCCCAGCTCCACCACCTGCAGTCCCTAAAGAACTCCCTGCACCTCCAGCTCCACCTCCAGCATCAGCCCCAACACCAGAGAAAGAACCTGAAGAGCCAGCACAGGCCCCTCCTGCCCAATCTACTCCTACTCCAGGTGTGGCTGCGGCTCCCACTCTGGTGAGTGGTGGTGGCAGTACCAGTAGCACCAGCAGTGGCAGCTTCGAAGCCAGCCCAGGTATGGAGATGGGGATAGGTACTACCAGATGTCAGATCACTGCTTCAAGGTGCTTAAAGGTGCAGGGTGGTAAGGCTGGGGATAAATGAAGTAGAAGGCAGTTGTTTTGGTTTATTGGACTATCAGTGATAGTGTTCTATCATTTGTATATCTGAAGGAGGGAAGGTTTTGTCTGGAATCTTAGGTTGTAGTCTAATACCATTTCTTGGCAGAGTACTGTAGCTCACGCCTATAATCCCAACACTTAGGGAGGCTTGGGGTGGAGGATCGCTTGAGCCTAGGGAGTTTGAGACCAGCCTGGGCAACAAAGCAAGACCCTGTCGGCCAGGCATGGTGGCTCACACTTGTAATCCCAGCACTCTGGGAGGCCGAGGCGGGCAGAACATGAGGTCAGGAGTTCAAGATCAGCCTGGCCAACATAGTGAAACCCGTCTCTACTAAAAATACAAAAATTAGCCAAGTGTGGTGGCATGTGCTTGTAGTCCCAGCTGCTTGGGAGGCTGAGGTAGTAGAATCGCTTTAACCCGGGAGGCAGAGATTTCTGTGAGCCAAGACCATGCCATTGCACTCCAGCCTGGGTGACAGAGCAAGACTCTGTCTCAAAAAAAAATCCTGTCTCACAAGAAATACATAAATAAAAATGAAAACTATTTCCTATAGGCCAAGACTGAAGAAAGTACTGTTGTTCTAATGGTTTCATAGAAAGTTAATGCCACCACCATAGGCTCATGAGAGGCCATGAAGTGCTTTAATGGGTCTTAAATGGGAGGGGCTTCAATAGAATAGATGTTGAATAGAATATTTTAGTCTTAAGGGAGCTAGAGATGAGACGTGAGATTCCTGGGGTGTTCATGGAGTGTCTATTGTTGGACTAGATCACTCTGTTGTGTTTTTTCCGATGCAGTGGAACCACAACTGCCCTCAAAAGAGGGTCCTGAACCACCAGAAGAGGTTCCTCCTCCTACCACACCCCCAGTTCCAAAGGTGGAACCCAAGGGTGATGGGATTGGTCCCACCCGCCAGCCCCCTAGTCAGGGCTTGGGCTACCCCAAATATCAGAAGTCGTTGCCTCCTCGTTTCCAGCGGCAGCAGCAGGTGAAATCAAGTTGTTTACCCTCTAAGGGCTGCTTTTCTTCCTGGCTTCGGTCCCTAATTCTCTTCATAAGTTACCTTCTGGGTCCCTTTGCTTCTTTGTCCAGTTGTCTCCATTGTCACGCCAATTTCCCCTAGTCCAAGTTTTTTCTTTGCTGATTCCTTTGTCCATGTGTGCTTTGAGCCTCTCTCATCTTGTCTTTCCTCCTTTCCTAGGAGCAGCTCCTGAAGCAGCAGCAGCAGCACCAGTGGCAGCAGCATCAACAGGGCTCTGCCCCTCCTACCCCAGTGCCCCCATCACCACCACAGCCTGTGACCCTGGGGGCTGTGCCAGCTCCACAGGCTCCACCCCCGCCCCCCAAGGCCCTGTACCCAGGTGCTCTGGGCCGGCCCCCACCCATGCCCCCAATGAACTTTGATCCCCGATGGATGATGATTCCTCCTTATGTGGACCCCCGGCTCCTCCAGGGTCGTCCCCCTCTAGACTTCTACCCTCCTGGTGTGCATCCCTCTGGTAAGGGGGCATGGGAGGAGTGAGAAACAGGAAAGTCCCCTCAGTCTTAGGCATTGGATATTAGGGTCTTACTGTGATTCTGGTACGATAGGTTTTGCCCATCATAGTGATGAGGGAAGGGCATATGCTTAGCACTGCTGAGATAGCTCTGTTGCAAAAATGGGCTTAGTTAAGAAATAAGCAGTGGTTGGCCAGGCATTGTGGCTCACGCCTGTAATCCCAGCACTTAGGGAGGCCGAGGTGGGCAGATCAGCTGAGTTCAGGAGTTCGAGACCACCATGGCTAACGTGGTGAAACCCCATTTCTACTAAAAATACAAAAAAGTAGCCGGCGTGGTGGCGCTCGCCTGTAGTCCCAGCTACTCGGGAGACTGAGGCAGGAGAAACGCTTGAACCCAGGAGGTGGAGGTTGTAGTGAGCCGAGATTGTGCCATCGCACTCCAGCTTAGGCAACGAGCGAAACTCCGTCTCAAAAATGAATTGAATGAATAGCACAACTCCATCTCAAAAATGAATGAATGAATGAAAGAAGCAGTGGTCCTTCATTTGCCAGGATTTATTTGGGGTGGGTTGATTCTCTTGTAGGGAATCTGAGTGGATAACCTTGTTATATAAGAGCAGGCAAGGCCCGGACCTACTGGGAACAAGAGATGGAAGAGCTGACTTGACCGCGAGGGGAGATGCTTTTTGGGCTGGAGGGCTTGTGACATGAATAGGATTATTTTTCTTTTTCTTTGGTTTCTTCAGGCCTAGTTCCCCGAGAGCGTTCAGACAGTGGGGGCTCAAGCTCAGAGCCATTTGACCGTCATGCACCTGCTATGTTACGGGAACGGGGCACTCCACCGGTGGATCCAAAGTTGGCCTGGGTGGGAGATGTCTTCACCGCCACACCCGCTGAACCCCGCCCACTTACCTCACCTCTGCGCCAGGCTGCGGATGAGGATGACAAGGGGATGAGGTGAGTCTTGGTCATGAGAAATGGGTGAGTTCACAGTGAAAGGATCTAGGCCTGGGAGAAAGGTACTTTGGGTTAGTGGTAGGGATAGGGATGAACGGGAAAGGAGAGGCTGGATGGAGTGGCTCATGCCTGTAATCCCAGCATTTTGGGAGGCTGAGGCAAGAAGATTGCTTGAGCCCAGCAGTTCGAGACTAGCCTCGGCAACTGGATGCCATCTCTGCCAAAACAAACAGAAAAATAGTAAAAGAGAGTCTGCATCATAATAAAGTGTTCTTTTCCCACCTAGTTCTGGTTTTCCTGAGATACTTATTTCCATTCTTTCTGTCTGTCTCTTCAGGAGCGAGACTCCTCCAGTACCTCCCCCACCACCCTATCTGGCCAGTTATCCAGGCTTTCCTGAGAATGGAGCCCCTGGGCCCCCAATCTCTCGCTTTCCTCTGGAGGAACCAGGGCCCCGTCCACTCCCCTGGCCCCCAGGCAGTGATGAAGTGGCCAAGATACAAACTCCACCACCCAAGAAGGAGCCCCCTAAGGAGGAGACTGCACAGCTGACGGGGCCAGAAGCAGGCCGAAAGCCTGCCCGCGGAGTCGGGAGTGGAGGCCAGGGCCCCCCACCACCACGCAGAGAGAGTCGCACAGAGACCCGCTGGGGCCCTCGTCCAGGGAGCAGTCGTCGTGGAATCCCTCCAGAGGAGCCAGGGGCCCCACCCCGCCGGGCTGG
Source organism: Homo sapiens (assembly GCF_000001405.40). Lineage (NCBI taxonomy): Eukaryota > Metazoa > Chordata > Mammalia > Primates > Hominidae > Homo > Homo sapiens. The sequence continues at coordinate 2,930,804 of NT_167249.2, forward strand.
GCCTATAAAGAAACCTCCACCACCTACAAAAGTAGAAGAGCTGCCTCCCAAGCCCCTCGAACAGGGGGATGAAACCCCCAAACCCCCAAAGCCAGACCCACTCAAGATAACCAAGGGGAAGCTAGGGGGCCCCAAGGAGACCCCACCCAATGGAAATCTTTCCCCTGCCCCAAGGCTTCGGAGGGACTATTCGTATGAAAGAGTGGGTCCTACCTCTTGCCGGGGTCGGGGCCGAGGCGAGTATTTTGCCAGAGGGAGGGGTTTTCGGGGGACCTATGGGGGACGAGGGCGGGGAGCCCGAAGCCGGGAATTCCGCAGTTACCGAGAGTTTCGAGGAGATGATGGGCGTGGAGGTGGGACAGGGGGACCAAACCACCCTCCTGCTCCCCGAGGCCGCACTGCCAGCGAGACACGGAGCGAGGGTTCAGAGTATGAGGAAATCCCCAAGCGGCGCCGGCAGCGGGGCTCAGAAACAGGCAGCGAGACCCATGAGAGTGATCTGGCTCCTTCAGACAAGGAGGCTCCCACACCCAAGGAGGGAACACTCACCCAGGTCCCTCTCGCTCCCCCACCACCAGGAGCCCCACCTTCACCAGCCCCAGCCCGCTTCACTGCCCGGGGTGGGCGAGTCTTCACTCCCAGAGGGGTGCCATCTCGCCGGGGCCGAGGAGGAGGGAGGCCCCCTCCTCAAGTTTGCCCAGGCTGGAGCCCTCCAGCCAAGTCTCTGGCTCCCAAGAAACCTCCCACAGGCCCTTTGCCACCAAGTAAGGAGCCTTTGAAAGAGAAGTTGATCCCAGGGCCTCTGTCCCCTGTGGCGCGCGGAGGCAGCAATGGAGGTAGCAATGTGGGCATGGAAGATGGGGAGCGACCCCGAAGGAGGCGACATGGGAGGGCTCAGCAGCAGGATAAACCGCCTCGTTTCCGGAGGCTGAAGCAGGAACGGGAGAATGCCGCAAGGGGGTCTGAGGGCAAGCCCTCCCTAACCCTTCCAGCCTCCGCTCCTGGACCTGAGGAGGCCCTCACAACAGTCACAGTGGCCCCAGCACCTCGCCGGGCAGCTGCCAAGTCTCCTGATCTGTCAAACCAGAACTCAGACCAAGCCAATGAGGAATGGGAGACTGCATCAGAGAGCAGTGACTTCACCAGTGAGCGCCGAGGGGACAAAGAGGCACCCCCACCAGTACTGCTGACACCCAAGGCTGTGGGAACTCCTGGGGGAGGTGGAGGTGGAGCCGTACCAGGTATTTCAGCCATGTCCCGCGGAGATCTGAGCCAGAGAGCCAAGGATTTGAGTAAACGGAGCTTCTCAAGTCAGCGGCCAGGCATGGAACGGCAGAATCGGCGCCCTGGCCCAGGGGGCAAGGCTGGCAGCAGTGGCAGCAGCAGTGGAGGAGGCGGTGGGGGTCCTGGAGGAAGGACCGGGCCAGGACGAGGCGACAAGAGGAGCTGGCCCTCTCCCAAGAACCGAAGGTGGGTAGGAACAAACAAATTTATTGTGGTTTAAAAATTGGAGGAGGGGGGAAAAGCCTGAGGGAAAGATAAGTTTGGGTGTAGTGGAGATTGTGGCCTGAGGGGCCATGGGCTCTAGAATGTCAGTAGGATTTCCATGTCTGGCTAAGGCAACTGGAAAGCGGTTGGTAGGGTGTTAGAGTCAAGAACACCCACCTATGTATTCATTGCTGGTTCTTTGCTTTCCAGTCTGTGCATCTGTACGCATAGGAACCCTTAGAAGGACTCAAAAACACCTGGACTTTAATAGGGAAGAGAATAGGTTGTAAGCAGAAGTTGGGAAACATAACTTGTGGGAAAAAGTAACGATTTAGTGGATACTGGAGCTAATGCTCTGTTTTCTCCAGTCGTCCTCCAGAGGAGCGTCCCCCGGGGCTTCCCCTGCCTCCCCCACCTCCCAGCAGTTCTGCTGTCTTCCGCCTGGACCAAGTTATCCACAGCAACCCTGCTGGCATCCAACAGGCTCTGGCCCAGCTTAGTAGCCGTCAAGGGAGTGTAACTGCACCAGGGGGTCATCCAAGGCACAAGCCTGGGCCTCCCCAAGCCCCTCAGGGCCCCTCTCCTAGGCCCCCAACCCGATACGAGCCCCAGAGGGTCAACAGCGGCCTCAGTTCTGGTAAGCTGGAGGGGTTATGGGTGGGAATATCTCCATCCCCAGAGAAGGTCAAGTGCTGGAGGGAGCGGGTGGAGAACCTGGCCTAGGGGCCCTGCTGCTGGGTGCGTTTCTGCAGGGAGCAAGGGTAGAAGAATTGGGAGGTGGAGTAGAGAGGAAAAGTTAGGGTCAGTGGCAGAGCCAGGCAGATGCTGACCCTTTTTCTCTTTCCCAGACCCCCACTTTGAGGAGCCGGGGCCAATGGTGAGAGGGGTGGGTGGGACTCCTCGGGACTCTGCCGGGGTTAGTCCCTTTCCCCCTAAACGTCGGGAGCGGCCTCCCAGAAAACCAGAGCTGCTACAGGAGGTAAGGGATGGGTTTGAGATTGTGCTTCACTGCACTCTTACTCGTGAAAATTCTTCTGGGTTATGTTTTCTCTGTTCTCTTTCCTGTTTCTTTCACTGTGTTTTTACTCCAGAATTCTCAGTATTAGTCTCCCATGTGTCTCCCTTGTTGTCCCCACACCCTGTGTCACCCCACTCTGTCCTGGCTTCCTATAATTCCCAATTCCCACCCAATTCATGTTTTGCTTCTGGCCCTTCTCATCTGTAGGAATCTTTGCCACCTCCTCATAGCTCTGGATTCTTGGGCTCTAAGCCTGAGGGCCCAGGCCCTCAGGCAGAGTCCAGAGATACAGGCACAGAGGCCCTGACCCCTCACATCTGGAACCGTTTACATACTGGTGAGTAAAGCTGAGTGAAAGGACTATGGTAGAAGGGTTAAGAATGAGAGGGGCTTCTGAACTGTCATCTCCTCACTTCTCTTCTGGTTGGTGCTCCCTTCTCCAGCCACTAGCCGAAAGAGTTACCGGCCCAGCTCCATGGAGCCTTGGATGGAGCCCCTGAGTCCTTTTGAGGATGTGGCTGGCACAGAAGTGAGTGAGGGTGGGAGGGTGTGTCTGAGCTGGGACTTTTTTGAGCACTGGTCATACCCCCCACCTGCTCTGGGTTGAGTCTGGAGCTGTTCTCTCACTTGGCTGTCCCCTTTCTGCAGTTTGTATGTGTGCATCAGTCAGGTATTGGGGTGCTTTCTACCCTGACTTAACTAGCTCCTTCTCCACTCCTCTCAGATGAGTCAGTCTGACAGTGGGGTGGACCTGAGTGGGGATTCTCAGGTGTCATCAGGTCCCTGCAGCCAGCGAAGTTCCCCTGATGGAGGACTCAAGGGGGCAGCAGAGGGACCCCCCAAGAGGCCTGGAGGCTCCTCACCCCTGAATGCTGTTCCTTGTGAGGGTCCACCTGGCTCTGAACCTCCTAGGAGACCACCACCTGCCCCCCACGATGGGGACAGAAAGGTAAAAGACCAAAAAAGGATAAGGGGAATGTTTCCAGGAATCTGACTTTGGCCCTACCTTTTTCTGCTTTTTCTCTCTGCGTGTGTGTTCTGGGCATTCCAATTTGGATTTCCCTTTCCCTCCCCCAATGCACTTTACTGTGTGCCCAATCCAGGAGCTGCCCCGGGAGCAGCCTCTGCCCCCTGGCCCCATTGGCACAGAACGATCACAGCATACAGACCGAGGCACAGAGCCTGGCCCCATTCGGCCATCCCATCGACCTGGTCCCCCAGTCCAGTTTGGCACTAGTGACAAGGTCTGTGTGGGCTGGATCTGGGTATCCTGAGTTGGGTGGAGAGAAGGGAAGGACTAAAGGTGGGACATAGAGGACACATGTCTGTCACGGGACAATGTCTCCTGCCTTCTTGTGATCACAGGACTCAGACTTACGCCTAGTGGTAGGAGACAGCTTGAAAGCAGAGAAGGAGCTAACAGCATCAGTCACTGAGGTAAGTGGGAGTAAGAGTTTGGTGGAAAGGCCCAAGATTTCTGGGGAAGATTGCTGGGAGTGACCAGGGCGTCCAGGATGCCAGACATCCCTCTCCACGAGGCCTCTCCTTCCCAGGCCATTCCTGTATCACGAGACTGGGAGCTGCTTCCCAGTGCTGCTGCCTCTGCTGAGCCACAATCCAAGAACCTGGATTCTGGGCACTGTGTCCCGGAGCCCAGCTCCTCAGGCCAGCGCCTGTATCCTGAGGTTTTCTATGGCAGTGCTGGGCCTTCCAGTTCTCAGGTAGGCCCCGCTTCCCATTGCATGACCCCTTCAGTGAATAATAATTTTTTTCTGCCTGGTATGTATTTATAATCAAGCCTTTCTACGTTGCAGAGTTGTGAGATACCACTTTGTCACATCATTTTTCTCCCTACTTTTTGCTTCTATGGGTGGGATGGTGATCTTTTTTCTTGACCACAGATACTAAAGCTGTTTCAACCGTGCTCCTCTCCTGCAGATCTCTGGGGGAGCCATGGACTCTCAGTTACATCCAAACAGTGGAGGCTTCCGCCCTGGGACACCCTCACTGCACCCTTACAGGTAAGACTCGATGCCTGTGGATCACAGAAGTACTTGGAGATGTGTTTCGGGGAGAGGGAAGGGGAAGACACAGTTCTAGGGTACTAGAAGCTAGTGGACTTAAGGCATTGCTAGGACTCTGGCTTCCTAACAGCTTTTCTCCCCACAATTTATTTTCAGATCACAGCCCCTATACCTACCCCCCGGCCCAGCCCCTCCCTCAGCACTGCTCTCTGGGGTAGCTCTCAAGGGCCAGTTTCTGGATTTCTCCACAATGCAAGCTACAGAGCTGGGGAAGTTGCCGGCTGGAGGAGTTCTCTACCCTCCACCTTCCTTCCTCTACTCTCCGGCTTTCTGCCCCAGTCCTTTGCCTGACACATCGTTGCTTCAGGTAAGAGGGGGGCAGGTATTAGATATTGGGGGATAGGGTAGGGAGAATGATTTTGTGGGGGTTGATATATTTCTCCCTGTTTCCCGACAGGTACGCCAGGATCTGCCATCCCCTTCGGATTTTTATTCTACTCCTCTGCAGCCTGGTGGCCAAAGTGGCTTTCTCCCTTCAGGGGCTCCTGCCCAGCAGGTATATTGTATCTTCACACTTCCCCTTCATTTGATTTCTCTGTCCAGTTGCTGGCTTTGATTTTCCCTGGTTTTCTGACATTCCTCCCTGCCCCCAACATGCACACCCAAATTTCTTGTTACAGATGCTTCTACCCATGGTAGACTCACAGCTGCCTGTGGTGAACTTTGGCTCCCTGCCGCCAGCACCACCTCCTGCCCCACCTTCCCTTTCTCTGTTACCTGTGGGCCCTGCTCTGCAGCCCCCCAGCCTGGCTGTGCGGCCCCCACCTGCTCCTGCTACTCGGGTGCTGCCTTCACCTGCCAGGCCCTTCCCCGCTAGCTTGGGGCGAGCAGAGGTAAGGTACAGGAACTGAGGGGCTAGGGAGCGCCAAGACTTGGGAGTAGGGATTCTGTATTTCAAGGTAGGCAGCTCATGATTTTTTTCCCCTCAGCTGCATCCAGTGGAACTAAAGCCGTTCCAGGATTATCAAAAACTGAGCAGCAACCTTGGGGGACCTGGATCATCACGGACTCCCCCAACTGGAAGGTGAAACGGAATAGGGATGTGGACTTTCCAAGTGCTTCCTTACTTTGGAACCAGGGTCTGGATCCTAGGCTTGCCTTAGACGCCCTTCTTCCCTTAGGTCCTTCTCTGGCCTCAATTCCCGTCTCAAGGCCACGCCTTCCACCTACAGTGGAGTCTTCCGCACCCAGCGCGTCGACCTTTACCAGCAGGTGAAGGAGAAACCCTTGTGGCCCCAACTCTAAATTCGAGTTGCCACCTGATTTCCTGTCCTTCCGTCTCATCGCTGACCTCTCACTGTGACTCACTGTTTAACACATGCCTGTCCCCTAGGCCTCCCCACCAGATGCCCTGCGCTGGATACCTAAGCCTTGGGAGCGGACAGGGCCGCCACCTCGAGAAGGGCCCTCCCGACGGGCAGAGGAGCCTGGGTCCCGAGGGGACAAGGAGCCTGGGTTGCCCCCACCCCGCTGAGGGAGTTCCTCTTGCCCCCTACCCCCGGGGCTTGTATATAGATTATAAATATATAAGGGGGAAAGGGGTGGGCGGGGAGGGGTTCTGGGGCTGGGGCCTCACTTCCCCTCCTCCCCCTTCCCCTGGTCCCCTGTCCCTGGGGCTGTTTGTTAAAAAAGAGTAATAAAAGGATTTAAAAAAAAAAACTTCTACAATGATTTGGGGGATGAGTTGTTTGCATTGTCTTAAAGCATGGTGCTGAGTGATCTGTAGTTTCAGTCAGGGAAATATTCATTACTTATTCCAGTGAGCTGTTGAAACTAAAAACATGACCATCGTATTGGATCTTTAAATTTTTGTGAGTCTGGAATTTGGGCTGAGCTCAGCTGGATAAATCTGCTTTTTTGTGCCAGTGAGCGAGGTCAACTGGTTATCAGTCTGCAGCTGACACCTGGGCTGGTCCCAATATGGCTTCCTTTGCATATCTAGGGCCTTGGTGGGACATCTGTAACATTACTGGGTTATCAACCAGTGTCTTCACATGGACTCTCCAGCAGGCCTGTTAAATGTCCGTGAGCTCATGTTCCAAGAGGTCTAGCTGGAATTTTCTAAGCTTATGCCATGCTTAGTTGATAGAGCACTAAACTAGCCAAGGTAGGGGATGGGGGGGTTTAGAAGGGACTTCAACTGCATCTCAAAGGGACTAGCAAAGAATTTGCAGCCATGGGACTTCAGTTCTTTATGATGAACTAAGGGGAAATCTCTGTTAAGGCCTCAATGTTGGAGCACACTTAAGGGGCTCTTTGAATTGGATAGACCAATTCCAGCATTGTCAAACTAAGTGGGATTTCACATGGTAACGCTGCATGCTAGTTATGCTAAAGACTATACTTAGGTCTGCAGCTGCTCAGAAACTTTTTTTGATGGGTAATTTGAGAGCTCTATGCTAGTGTGCACCTGGAATATGCTCCCAACTCAAAATACAGGTTTTTTATTTATATATAAAGTGCTTTCGCACAAAAAATACAAACATCAGGCTGGGCGCGGTGGCCCAGGCCTGTAATTCCAGCACTTTGGGAGGCCAAGGCGGGTGGATCACAAGGTCAGGAGTTCGAGACCAGCCTGGCCAATATGGTGAAACCCTGTCTCTACTAAAAATACAAAAATTAGCCGGGCGTGGTGGCGGACGCCTGTAGTCCCAGCTACTCAGGAGGCTGAGGCATGAGTGAGAATCACTTGAACCCGGGAGGTGGAGGTTGTAGTGAGCCGAGCTCGAGATCGGGCCACTGCACTCCAGCCTGGGAGACAGCAATACTCTGTCTCAAAAAAAAAAAAAAACATCAAAACTGGCTTGTACAATTTAGCGTGCTGAGTAGAACACAACAGTGTTCCAAGGAAGTATTAATTTAAAAAAGTTCACACAAGATTAAGGGACACACTACCTAATGGAGACAATGTAGAGAGAAAGCAGCCAGAAAAATCCGACTTTTATTTCTTAAATACTGTGAAGGAAGAGGGGGGAAACGGTCCCCTGATGAGGAAGGGCCATAGAGCAAAGAAAGAGCTAAGGATCATCAGCAAAGGCCCGCTGGGCATTGGGGAAGCGCTGGGGACTGTAGTTGGGGTCTTCCTGCAGTCGTTTTTGTATATCAGACCGGAGCTAAAGAGAAAAAGTAAGCAGGTTGGAGAAACGCTGGCCAAGTCCCTATGATCCCAGCAAGCACACAAGGCCATCCCTCAGAAGCTAACATTTCCCCCCCCCAAGCACACTGTCAAATAGCCCGGGGTGGCACTGTCAAGCCTTCCCAGATGCCAAAGGGGAAAACAAATGGTAGCACCAGGCTGACCAGTTCATCGCTGAAGGGATCCAGGGAAGAGGGACCCTAGCCCAACCCCTCCCACTAGACCATCCCTATTCTGCTTCAAGGTGGCACCTGCTGCCTGTAGCTCTCCTGAACCTCTGGTGCCTCCAGGTCCCGGCTCAGGCTCTCGGGGCTCGTCAGGGGCCGAGCTCCGGCTGCCTTAGCTGCCCGGCTCACAGCCTCTGAGAGAAGCAGCTGGGGGCCCTCACCCTGCATCGTCTGGGGGACAGGGGGTTGGGAGGGAAAAGAGGATCAACGTCAGATCCAGTGCCACCATCCGGCTCACCCTTTCCATGAGTCAACCACTCCACTGAGTCTCCATGCTAGTGGAGAGAGGGGAAATTAAGAGTCCAGGATGTGGTTTTTACAGCAGAAATGCCTTCCTAATTCTCTTTGGCACTAGCCAAAACTAAAGTGAATGTGCTTGAACGTGCTCTTCAAAACGAAAGGCAGAAGGGGTCAAGCCATCCGGGATTCAGAGCTAGGTAATCCACAAGAGGAAACCCACCTTAAAGGAAAATGGGATCTAAGCACATGGGGATTAGGCAGCTGAGCAACTAATACAGGACTGCTAGCAAACAGACTAAGGTCAAGTCCTGTATGGTTATGCAACAACCAAGAGCAAGTCTGAATCCCAGAAAAAGTTTCCTCATTAAACGAGGGGAGGGGAGACTGAATAACAAGAGCTCCCACCATCTCTACATAGTTTGATTCCAGGCATGACGGGGAAACCTGGACAGAGAGAGAGGCTTAGGGAAGAGGAAAACCAACCTTGCGTCTCTTGGCAGGCATACCACTGAGGTAGGCATCACTCAGAGGGGGCTGCGGTTTCACCTTCCGCTGGCTCTGAATGTCCTGCTGGATAATAGGGACCCATTCCTGGGGAGGAAAAGAGAAAATAGTAATGTCCTTGACTTTCAGCTGCCATGACCCACTGGATTACTTCCTGACACTTACTGGGGGGACTGCAGCTGCCCAAGGTTCTGTCTCAGCTGAAGCTCCATCCTGTTCATCCCGGGAGCCCCCCTCAGGAGCAGGAGGTGGACCTCGGGACATGGCCTCTTCTGCTGTTGTTCCAGGGGCTGGGGAAGCATTCTCCCGCTGGGTGTCAGATGGCGGGAAGAGCCAGGCTTCAGAATTTTTAGCCTCCAAACCTTTCTCCCCCAGCCCTCCACTCCACATTATCTGGCCCCTCAACCTCCCCCTCTCTAGAGTACCTGAGGCTCAGGGGAAGCTCTTTCTGCTCCCTGAACTTCCATTGGCTCCTCAGGAAGTGGCTGTGAAATTAAAGAACACCATACTTCCTCTCAGATCTCTCCAGTTCTCTCAAGTACCCTGACCCCATCGCCCAACAGGTCCCTTACCTGGGGGGGATCACCAACCCTGCGAACGTATCTGAGAATGGCATCAGGGCCTACAGGCATGTGCTCCAGTACCACCTGAAGCCTCAGTCCCATCATAGTGGTCAGCCAGCTCACCAAGGAGGGATTCACCCCACGAGACATACGACGCTGAGGGACAGAAAGCAGATTTAGAACACAAAACCCTCAACCACCTTTAGAAATAGATTAGATCCAGGTTACAGAATGTCAGTTTAGAAAAGAAAAATGAAAACTGCAGAGAATGGAAACCTCAGGAAACAAAAGGCTAAGGATCTGGGGCTAGGTGGTGCTTACAATTCGGCCATTGATAACAGCAGCAAGCTCCATCTGCTGTCCCCCCAAGCAGTGCAGGTTTAGGGCCAGGCATTCAAACAGGCCTTGGTTACACAACTCCAGCAACCGGGCCCCAAATCCACTATCTGTGGGCAAAATACAAGGAGGGAATGCTGGCACGTGGCAGCCCTGCACATGCAACAGGCCCCACTTGCCCCCGCCTGGCCAGCCCCTGACCTGTGCAATGCAGCACATGCGCAGCAATGCTATTAAACTGCTCTTGGAGAAATTCCAGGTTTGTCCGGATGATGTCCACACCTGGCTGAACCTGCACCAAGGACTGAGAGACAAGATAACACAAAGATCCCAAAATCAAGAATCATAAGACTGGGAGTGGAGGAGGCAGCTGCCTCGACCAGACCCAGGAGAGGAAAGGAATAGAGAAGGGTTACTCACAAAACTCTCCCGCACATACTCTTCTAGCCCCGTGATCAATGTGTGGGTTGCCATCTGTGGAGGAAACAGAACAGGTTTAGTTCAAAGCCTCAGTCCTCCCAAGACTTCCACCTCGACCCCAACAAGTCCAGGGCTTGTGTGGGGGCAATTGGAGCTTTACCTGGCAGAGAAGCAGTCAGAAATAAGGAATAAAATGTGCAAAAGAGGAGAGTTCTGGGGCCCCTGGCCTTCATTTACCCGGATGTTACTGGGTGTGGGCTCCTGACCACCCAGGTAGTGCTGGTGGAAGAAGGATCGCAGCTGGGGCTGGAGCCGTTGTAGTGGCTGGAAATGCCCATGGAGAAGCATCACTACGTCCACCATAGAGAAGTTCTGGCACAGAAGAGAAAGCAAGGCCCCAAAGAATCCTGGGGGACAAGGGCAGATGTTAGCAATGGCCTTTACCACCTGGCCTGCCCACCCACAACCAGATCATCAACCTCATCCCACCTTGGCAACACCCCTAAACCAAGGCCATCTACATTCCTCTGGCTGCCCCTTCCTGGAGCAAGCCAAAGCATCCTTTTTGCTCACCAAGGGCCCCATCAGCTCCAGGCTCAAAGATGTTGCTGGATCCACTGAGGCGTTGTATGAAGGCAGCAATACTTTCACTGCTGCCAGCCCGAGCCCCCAGGGAGCCCAGCAGGGAGCTGAGCACACCCTGCACCACTGAGGTAAAAAACTCCGGTGACAGGCTCTCAAGACCCAGGCCTCCAGGACTCCCTGCGCCACCAGAAGGGGAGCCTGGTGGGGGCATGGTCTGCTGCTCTGGGGCAGGTGGTGGGGGTGGAGGAGGTGGGGGTGGTGGAGGGGCTGTCTGTGTTGCCTGGCAAATAAAGAAAGAACAAAGAACAGAAAGTGAGGTGAGAATGAAGACACACGGAAATAATACGGCATCAAGAGGGCACAAACCAACGGGTCTGGGAAGATGGGGAGTTACATTCTGATCTTCACTGCTTAAAGCAGAAGTATGGTAGGTATTTAACAGAGTCAGGCAGCACAACTTACCTACCTCTTCCTCTGAACAGGTTGTCAGAAAGCAGTGACACTAATTACTATACTTTCTTTTTCTAAACCTCATTTTCTTCATCTTTAAAATGAAAGGTTCAGAGTCAATGAATTCCTAGGGCCCCTTCCCCTAACATGTCACTAGGGGCTCTTACCCAGTGGTTATATAATGGCAAGAAGGTACCACTGCCTGGCTGGGCCGGGGGACAGGAAGATGAGGTGAATGGCAAGCCAGCCACTCACCTGCAAGAAGTCAGTCATGCCTTGGAGAAAGGCAGGGACACCAGGCATCGCCACAGTGATGGTGGGAGAAGCCACACCAGACCCTCCAGCCCCTGGCCCTGCAGGCCCTAGCAGGTTCCCCAGAAGCTGAGAGAACTGAAGATCAGCCATGGAGGGTTGAGGGGTGGGTGGAGGCTGGGCAGGCCCCCCAGGAGCGGGGCCAGCTGTGGTAGCTGTGTTGGTGGTGCCAGCACTGGCAGAAGCAGTGGCAGGGGCTGGCGGTGGAGCCATACCTGGGGTCCCCTGAGCTGTAAGAAACCAAAAAAAGAAAGCTGGGCTGAGCATGGTGGCTCTTGGCTGTAATCCTAGCAACTTTGGGAGGCCAAGGCATGAGAACTGCTTGAGCCCAGGAGTCTAGGCCACATAGCAAGACCCCATCTCTACCAGAAAAAAAAAAAGACAATTACTAGCCAGGAGCTAGTACTGCTAGCTACTCAGGAGGCTGAGGTGGGAGAACTGTTTGAGCCCAGGAGTTCAAGGTTACAGTGAGCTTTAACTCACTGGATTGCACCACTGCACTCCAGTCTGGGTGACAGAGCAAGACTCTGTAACTTAAAAAAAAAAGAAAAAAGCTGGCCGGGCACGATGGCTCAAGCCTGTAATCCCAGCACTTTGGGAGGCCAAGGTGGGTGGATCACAAGGTCAAGAGTTCGAGACCATCCTGGCCAACATGGTGAAACCCCCTTCTCTACTAAAAACATAAAAAATTAGCTGGGCGTGGTGGCGTGCACCTGTAGTCCCAGCTACTCAGGAGGCTGAGGCAGGAGAATCACTTGAACCCGGGAGGCAGAGGTTGCAGTGAGCCAAGATTGTACACTGCACTCCAGCCTAGCAACAGAGTGAGACTCCATCTCAAAAAAAAAAAAAAAAAAAAAAAAAAAAGCTGAAACCTGAAGACACAAGACACTACAGCAGCCCCATTCCAGGAAAGCAGGAACCAAGAAAATATGGAAAGAACTGGAAAGTGCCAGTGAGCAGACTAGGAAAGGAGTTTAAACTCTGAGTGGGGAAGAATGAAAACTCACCCACAAGGACTGGCTGCATAAGAAGCTGCCCCACAAGGCCGCTCACCATCTGGGCCAACGAGGCATTGGTACCCAGACCGGCGCCCTGCTGGATAGAGAGCAAGGGAGAACTTCAGACCTGCCCTTCCATGCACCACCACAGGAGTCTCTCCCTAGACTGTTACGCACTAGAACTCCCCGACCCTTGCTCACCAGTGTCCCAGAGACTGGGGGCCCTCCAGGATGGGAAGGCCGAGCCTGTGGAGGAGTGGGCCGGGCAATCACCACCCGGGTTGGAGCTGTTGGGAAGCCTGGCACCTGCTGTCCTGTGGGTGGCAGAAGAGACAGACCGAAGAGGGCTGAGGGCCAGGCCCTTGCCAGCCAGCTGCCACCATGGACTGTGCCCTACCTCCCAAGCCTCCCCTTCCAGGTCATTACCTGCGGCCGCGGAGGCAACAGCTGCCACCATGGCCTGATGAGTGATCTGGTGGGCGACGGCGTGCATGAACTCAGGGGGCAGGGAGGGCAGCTGGATGAGGGTGGAGCCTGGGGGGCGGGTCTGATGTAACCTTGAACCTGGACCCCTTCAACCCACCCACTCAGCCCTTCCCTTTCTCTACCCAGAGCTCAGCCTGCCCTGATGCCCTCACTCTTACCCAGGGTTTGGCCATGACCAGGGGGTCCCAGGGGGCCAGTGGGAGCACTCGGAACACCACCAGGCTGTGTGCCAGAATCTGGGCAGGGAGACAGAGACAGTGGCCCTGAGGTAGGTAGGGCCAAGGCCTAACTATATCCTTCTGAGATCAGGCATACTTCAGGCCCATAATCCCCCAATCAGAAAGCCTGCCTTTCCCTCCATCTAAACAGGGAGAGGTACTCCCTTCACCACACAAACACACCTCCAAAGACAAACCAACCCCCACACCCCCCACATCTGTCTACTTAAGCTTCTGCTCTGGTCCCCAGGCTACCACCACCAGCATGTGCCTCTCCCTTCCCCACCCTGTTCCCTCACACCTCAGCATGAACCTCCCTCATCATGCTGATCCTGCTCTTCTCGCCAGCAACTATTCTCACCTTGAATGTTCATGTGCATCATGACCACGGGTTCCACACTCTGGTGGGAAATCCGGATGACCCTCGGGTGGCTGGTGGCTGGCGGGGGAGCTGGACCTGGCGGGGGAGCCCCCTCAGCTGAGGACTCGACATTGGTAGAAGACGGAGCCACGGATGAGGCCTGCCCAGGACCAGGGGGAGGTGCCTCTGCATTGGGAGTTGGGGGGGGCCGAGTCCCATTTCCTGTCATGGTCACAGTGGTTCCCACATTGATCTGAAAAAGACAGATGGACAGGCAGATGTGAGAAAAATACAAGAGCCTAACCAAGAAAACCTCATGATAAACCTCTAAAGTATCTCCAGCCTTCATCACCATGTTTCCAGTCTCCTCCTTTCCTAACCTCCTTCAGGCCCAGTAGCTACCCTGGGTCACTCTATCAACACCCCTCACTCTCCCTCAGGCCAGACTCCCCCTAACCCACCTGTATGGGAATGGCTGCCTGCTGGAGCACCATGGGGGTGGTGTAGTGAGACATAGGCCGGACCACATGCAGGTGTCGTGGGGGCGTGCAGGCCAGATTGCAGCGCAGGTCAGACAGTGCAACAAAGGTGTTGCCCAGCAGTCGCAGGCTCTCCCCTACCAAGTTGATCAACCGCTGATCCTCCTCCCGGCCCTCGTGCTGCGCACAACCAGCCAAACACAAAAAGGCAGAAAATATCAAGCTGGAGTCCATCTCACTAATAAAAGCAATAATGCCTACTGAGAATACCATGTCCTCCAAAACTTTCAGTTATATCCTTGGAAGTTTACATGTAGACCAAATCTTTGCAAATAAATTATATCTTATTCACATAAGGAACATCCTATTAAAACACTACTATGAATCAGTAAGTCATCATATACTGATCTCCTGTACTTTACATTTTCTAAATTCATTCAGGGGCACAAGGGGTACGATACGAGGACAGTGCTTACAGCAAAGATTATCACCTTCTCTGTAAGGGAGGACAAAATCACTTACAGGTTTAGAGAGAAACTGTTTTGTTGCAATGTGTGTTTTTTTGTTTTGTTTTGTTTTTTGAGACAGTCTCGCTCTGTCACCCAGGCTAGAGTGCAGTAGTGCAATCTCGGCTCACTGCAACCCCCTCCTCCCGAGTTCTAGCGATTCTCCTGCCTCAGCCTCCTGAGTAGCTGGGATTACAGGTGTGCACCACTACATCCAGCTAATGTTTATATTTTCAGTAGAGATGGGGTTGCACCATGTTGGCCAGGCTGGTCTCAAACTCCCGATCTCAGATGATCCGCCCACCTTGGCCTCCCAAAGTGCTGGGATTACAGGCGTGAGCCACTGCACCTGGCCCTGTTGCAATGTTTTTCCAGGGAGGGAAAGAGTTATCTGTATTTCAGCCTGTTCTGTTTTGGGAGTACTGGGGCTGAGGAGAAAGGGCAGGGCCATCAAAGGGCTCACATTGTTATTGTAGTCCGTGGTGGCAGCAGCACCCAGAACCTCGTAGTAGCGCTGCAAGAAGGGCTGGAGGCGACTCTCCAGCCGCTGTAGCTCCTGGAGCACCTCGACATACTCCGCAGGGGAAGGATGGCTGTGGACAAACCCAAGGGGCAATGAGCCAAAGCCTTCCTCAGATTCCCACCCTCACAGTCAACAGGGACCACATGTGCCCTCTTTCTCCCTGGTCTCCCAGAGCCCTGGCCCAATCCTTCTCTGGACCAGCAGAGCTTCTATTCTCTTCAACCTCCGCCTCCCAGGTTCAAACGATTCTCCTGCCTCTGCCTCCCAAGTAGCTGGGATTAAGTTGCCTGCCACCACACCCGGCTAATTTTTGTTTTTTTTTTTTTTTTTTTTTTTTGAGACAGAGTCTCGCTCTATCACCCAGGCTGGAGTGCAGTGGTGCGACCTCAGCTCACTGCAAGCTCCGTCTCCTGGGTTCACACCATTCTCCTGACTCAGCCTCCCGAGTAGCTGGGACTACAGGTGCCCGCCACCATGCCCAGCTAATTTTTTGTATTTTTAGTAGAGACGGGGTTTCATCATGTTAGCCAGGATAGTCTCGATCTCTTGACCTCATGATCCACCCGCCTCGGCCTCCCAAAGTGCTGGGATTACAGGCGTGAGCCACTGTGCCCGGCCTGTATTTTTTAGTAGAGACAGGGTTTCACCATGTTGGCCAGGCTGGTCTCGAACTCCTGACCTCAGGTGATCTGCCCGCCTCTGCCTCCCAAAGTGCTGAGATTACAGGCATGAGCCACTGCACCCAGCCAAAGCTTCTATTCTTTACTCCCACCCATGAGAGGATAGGGAGAAGAAAATGAACTGCTCCCACCCTCCCCACCACAATCCTGCACCTACAATGGTGAAAGACTAATTCTAAGAAAGAGAGCAGGCCTTCGTGAACTCAGAGGAGAATTCCGATCAGGCTCAGGAGATACCATTTGGATTTCCTTGCCATAGGGAGAGCAGCAGTTCTTCTCAGCTGCCTGTCCTAGCGTCATTTACCTATACCGAGAGAGCCCCTCCTCGCCCCTCAATGCTAACCCTTCAACTAAGACCTCCAAGTAATCCTTTCCCTCCCTTGCCATGGTTCATTTCCTTCTCCCCATACTTCACTTAGGATTCCCCACCCACTAAAGATTCCCTCCATCTCTCACTTGGGTGCATTTGTTTCCGGGGCAGGTGTTGGGCCCGCTGGGGCTGGGCCAGGAGTGAGCTCCGGGTTCTGGGCTGGGGCACGCTCCTCCACTTCTTCTGCCTCCATGGGCTCCCGGGGAGGTGCTTCACTTTCAACTGGTTCTGATGTTTGAGAGCTCAAGGCTACTGGCTCCGGGGTCACAGCCGGTGGCTGCGGGGGCGGCTGACTGTGCTGCGGTTGGGGCCCTCCTCGACACTGAAGGTAGGGGAGAGTCAGGATACCAAAGGCAGGGTAAGACTGCTGCAGAGGATTACTCTACAGGAGACTGAACAGAGAAAGTATCCTAACTAGACTCCCTGAAGGCATGGCTCTGCAATTTTATCTCCGACTCGCTAGCAACTAGCATAAGACTGACACAAATTAGATGCATAATAAGCATCTGTAATTTTTTTTTTTTTTTTTTGAGACAGAGTCTCGCTCTGTTGCCCAGGCTGGAGTGCAGTGGCATGATCTCAGCTCACTGTAACCTCCGCCTCCCAGGTTCAAGAAATTCTCTTGCCTCAGCCTTCTAAGTAGCCAGGCCTACAGGCGCGTGCCACCACACCCAACTAATTTTTGTACTTGTAGTAGAGACAGGGTTTCACCATGTTGGCCAGGCTGGATTGGAACTCCTGACCACACGTTATCCCCCTGCCATGGCGACCCAAAGTGCTGGGATTACAGGCAGGAGCCACCACACCCGGCCACAGCATCTGTAATATTTGTAAATAAATTTCTAACAAAGAGTAGAGATTGTGGTTTCCTTTCCTCCACAAGTTGGTTTCCCAGCCTCCACAAGTTAAGAGAGTAGAATCCTTTAATTGAAAAGAGATGCCATGAGACTAAGTCTGAAACAAACTCCCCAGATACCAGGCACCAAGAGGATTGGCAGAAATGAGAGAGCCTCACAAAGATACTTTTTCTGCCCAAAAGAATGAATACTGCAGAGAAGACTAGATTATGAAGGCCAAACCCTGTGAATGTGGCCAGTGAAGCCCTAACTCCCAGGCTGAGAGAAAAGGGAGAGGGAGGGTGGAGAGAGACCCTAGCCAGCCTTGCCCACTTACCTCCATCCGGGATAGTAAGGTCTGTATATCCCTGATCATGTGCTGAGCCATCACCAGCCGTACCCGGGGCTCACTCTACAATGAGAGAAGGTTTATCAGGGTAGGTTACAGATGAAGCCATGAGTTCTACCACCTACTAAATCAGGTCCCAGCCATCTCTCAGCCAGGTCCACCCCACCTCCCAGCCTCCTTCTCCCAGATCCCCTTCCCTGACCCTCGGAGGCCCCTCAATACCTGAATCGGGGCCTGTTCCATGTTGATGTGAACATCCACAGCAGAGCCGTCACTCTGGGGAAAGGGTAAGGGAAGTTGTTCTGGGAGAAGCCAACACTAAGGCCTCCACACCTCCAATTCATTCCCTGGAGCCCTACCTCCTTTTCTCCTTAAAGACTGAGACCAATAGCACACCACAGGGCCCCCTGAACCCAATCTAAAGATGGAAGCATCTATCTTATTAATTCCCTGGTGCTACCACAACCAAAGCTACCCACAAAAGCCCTCCCCTGTGGAACATAAGCTTACAGGAAGATTGAAGGTTCCAACCATGACATAGCTGTTGGCATTCCGGTCATGAACAGAGGCCCCAGGCCCCCGAGTACCAGGGGGGGATCCCCCACCATGAGTGGCTGAGGCAGACCCCGTCCCAGAAGATGCCCCAGAAGGGAGGTGAGTCTGAGGAGGAGCCCGTTCCACCAGGTGGATAACCTTTCCCCCAACATCTGCAGAAAAATAGACACACACCAAAACATAGTATGAACAGGTAAACCCATGGCCTCAGTTCATCCCTCCAGACAGTAGCCCCAACCTCTGAACTGCCTCCCCAGCCCCCTTACTGTATTCCTGAAGCTTCTTATCATCTTGCAGAACTCGTCCCTGGTAAATGAGCCGTTGTTTTTCAGATGGGATGCTGACAGAGGCAGCAATGTGCTCCTTAAACTCTTTTACATTCATCTGAAAAGAAGAGGCATGCACAGGAATGGAAAGAATGGAGGAAAGAGGAAGAACAAAGACAGACAACCGAGTTGTGGAGGTGAGGGGTAAAAACCACCACAGAATCACTACCCGTTTGTCTTGACCGTGAGATCATTACTGTGCAAACCCTTAAACTAAAGTAACAGCTGTCAAAATACAGACAATAAATTTGGCTTGGCGCGGTGGCTCACACCTGTAATCCCAGCACTTTGGGAGGCCAAGGCAGGCAGATCACATTAGGTCAGGAGTTCGAGACCAGCCTGGCCAACATGGTAAAACCCCTTTTTTACCAAAAATACAAAAAAATAAGCCAGGCATGGTGGTCGCCTGTAATCCCAGCTACTAGGGAGGCTGAAGCAAGAGAATCACTTGAATTCGGGAGGCGGAGGTTGCAGTGAGCCGAGATCGCATCACTACACTCTAGCCTGGGTGACAGAGAGGGACTCCATCTCAAAAAATTAAATAAATAAACTTAATGAAGCTCAGGTTATAGATCCAGGAAAAATAACACGGATGAAAAACAAAAAAAAACCACATGGACATTATATTATCTGTCTGGCATCCAAGGGAGTATGTGTCTAGAGACATCAGTGACCCCTTTCCAAACACAAGATGATACCAGTTTATTTACCAGACTCTCCTGTGATTTCCAAGATTAAAAAATGGCAAAGAAGATGGGGTCTGGTATCAGGTTACTGAAGAAAGACTAAGAAGATAAGAAAGCAAAAAAGGTCCCAGCACAGTGGCTCACACCTGTAATCCCAGCACTTTGGGAGGCCGAGGCAGGTGGATCACCTGAGGTCAGGAGTTCAAGACCAGCCTGGCCAACACGGTAAAACCCTGTCTCTACTAAAAATACAAAAATTAGCCGGGCGTGGTAGTAGGCGTCGTCTGTAATCCCAGATACTCAGGAGGCTGAGGCAGGAAAATTGCTTGAACCCAGGAGGCAGAGGTTGCAGTGAGCTGAGATTGCGCCCCAGCCCTCCATCCTGGGCAACAAGAGCAAAACTCCATCTCAAAAAAAAAAAAAAAAGCAAAAAGAGAAATATTTTTCCTAACTACAAACTGACTCTTGGGAAGTACCAGAGTATTTATATACATCTAATCACAAGTCTATATATGGCTTTCTTATATCCAGGTAATATCACATTTTAGAAAACCATGGACCACCCCACATGCAATTTGTCTCCAAGTATTACAGGAGTAAAGACACAGATAGCTATGTCCAAGGCTTTAAGCTCAAGAGACTCAAGCTATGCCATAAAAATTAGTAATTTCACTCAACAGTCTATCAAGGACCTATCTCCATTATGGGTTCTGATTTCTACCCTTTAAAAACACAGCATAGACCTGACCAATGTCTATCAGTAAGACACACTTGCTTAGGGTTCCTGTGCTGTTTCCCTTCCCAAAGGCCAGAGCCATGCCTGTCCCTTTGGGTTGGGGTCCACCCATGATGATGACACACAGATTCTTCCTTCCTCTGTATTTCCCTCTGCATTAAGTTCTATCCATGTGGAGGACAGAACAAAATCAGCCTCACTCACAAAACATCAGAAAACGTTCTACTGGAATACGAACAAAGGGATCAATAAAAAGAAAATCTGAGGCCAGGTGCGGTGGCTCATGCCTGTAATACCAGCACTTTGGGAGGCCGAGGAGGGCACATCACCTGAGGTAAGGAGTTCGAGACCAGCCTGACCAACATGGTGAAACCCCGTCTCTACTAAAAATACAAAAATCAGCTGGGTATAGTGGCACACGCCTATAATCCCAGCTACTCAGGAGGCTGAGATAGGAAAATCGCTTGAACCCAAGAGGTGGAAGTTTCAGTGAGTCGAGATCGCGCCACTGCACTCCAGCCTGGAAGACAGGGCGTGACTCCATCTCAAAAAAAAGAAAATCTGGTGACCAGAAAATCAAGCTCATCTCTCAGGCTAAGGGGCCTAAACGAGGAAAAGCTAAAGGTGTCTTCCAGAACTAGTGAGGTGTCTCACCTGGGCCCCCACAATAAAGGTACGAGTTTGAGAGTCCAAGGTCTTCACCAACACCTCCAAGCTGTCAGGCTCCTCCACAGCGGTACTGGTACTATCATTAGGCTCCATGGCCGACAGGTCTCTAAAGAAGAACGAAGGAAGGAGGGCCCGCTGTTGCCCAGACCAGAGTGTACCCGAAAGACTCCCTAGCATTAATCCCTGCCCCAATACCTAAAAAGTTTCTCCTGCACACACACACATTCACACCTGTCCCCATCCCCCTTCTGATTCCGGGGCACAGGGAGAGAAACACAAAGGGCAGGAGATCGACGGCTTAGGGAGCTGGAGGACGAGAGGTGGGAGGGGCTCCACGACGCCAATCACAATAAGCAGGGAGCCAGTCAGATTAGGAAGGAAGCACGAGACCAGAGACTAGTGTCATCACCGGTCACGGCAGGACAAGCGCCCCAGAGGTCGGAAAATCCTGGGACAACGCGAAAGCGGTGGTCGCCCCACACTCTGCGGAGAAAGTGGTTTCGCGCACGCGCGCCACGCCCATCGAACCCTCCTAACTCACTATAGACCCGAAACGGCACTCACGGGGCGACGGACCTGCTAGCTGACTGCCCGCGTCTACTGCCTTCCCACGGTGTTCCAGCAGAACGGCACAACTAACCCACAGCCAAACACACACACACACACACACACACACACACACACACCCACCCACCCACCACCCCGCGGCTCCGCCCCCGACTTCCCCACGGACCGTCACTTCCGGTCTCCCCCAAACCTGCCACCGACGGCCACTTCCGTTTCCCCGATAGTATTTGGGGATCTCGAAGCGATACTTCCGGCTCCCCCCAGGTCCCCAAGCTTTACTTTTGTGGGGCACGACGAGAAAGTCCGCAGCCCCAAACAGTGAGTTTCTGAGGGCGAGTCGGGCCGGGGCCGGCCTAGGTGGGAGGGAGCCGAGCACCCCGAGGAGCCGCCACCGCTGTCGCCCGGGGGACCGTACTACGCCTGCGTGCGTCGCACTACGGATGCGTGGACACTTAAGCATCGCCCCACCCCCTCCCCCTCTGGCGGCGTTCACGTCTGTGCGCGCGCTTGAGCGCTAGAAGATTGAGGTGGCTACCGTAAATGCCTGAAAAACAGTCACCAGCTGGGACTCTACCACTGCCTCGAGAGGGGCTATGGACGGTCGTATGGACCTTGGACTTTGGAGATGGGGGATTATGCCACATTCATCTATGTTTAAATCTTGGCAGGCTGATAATTTCAGGCGGCACTGTCCTAGCCAGCTAAAACTCTTCTCCACCCTATTGCCCTCGCTGCGCCCTTTCTTCTGTGCCTCCGGAAGTTACTCTTTCAGTAGGCGTTTGGGGGCGGCACTGGTCAATTTTGTTCTCGGTTGCTTGGTTGGGCTAGATTTCGGTTCTGCCGGGTGGGCGTTTTAAGGGCTGTGGGCGTCACATTCGTCGGTGTGTGGCCAAGGGGACATGACACGTTTTAGGAAAAGTAAACGTGCTACTAAGTTGCACGACTTGTCAAGAAAAGAGGCGCTTCCGAGTTTGAGAATTGGGAGCAAATGGAGTCCGAGTGGACAGAAAGACAAGACCCTGACCGTGGGGAATTTAAAGGCCGGCCAGCGTGCTTCCGAAGGCCGGGGGTGGAGGCATTACCGCCTCTCCGTGCCCTCTTCTCTTAACCTGCCCTGGGCCAAGGGCCTCGGCCCCGCGAAACTGCGAGTCCTCCAGAAAGACACATCGCTGTTGGGGTGTCCAACCTTTCTGGGATTCGTAGTTTATACCCAGGTCCTGGTTATATTTTAGTTAAGAGTTCTAATAAGCAGCTGTTTAATGAGCACTTGTGCCAGCCCATATACTACGGGTTTTGTGTATTATTTTAAAAAGCCTTTTAACGAGCTTTTAACATTTTTTAAGTGAGTACACTTAGACGAACATAAGTGTCAGAATTGACAAATCCAGGCCTACAGGACTCCAGATCGAGCACTTGTACTTTACTGCCCCAATAAAAAGCTGTTAACATTTTAGCTTATTTTTTTGAGAGAGGGTCTCGCTTTGTCGCCCAGGCTGGAGTGCAGTGGCGCAATCACAACTCACTGTAGCCTCTGCCTCCCGAGCCCAACCGATCTTCCCACCTCAGCCTCCCTAGTAGGGACCACAGATGCACACCACCACACCTGGCTAATTTTATTTTTATAGAGATGGGGTCTTGCTATGTTGCCCAGCCTGGTCTTGCAGACTTGGCCTCCCAAAGTGCTGGGATTATAGGTGTGAGCTACTGTGCCTAACCACATTTTAGCTTTTTATTACAAAAATTTTCGGCCGGGCGCAGTGACTCACACTTGGGAGGATGAGGCGGGTGGATCACGAGGTCAGGAGTTCAAGACCAGCCTGGCCAAAATGGTGAAACCCCATCTCTACTAAAAATACAAAAATTAGCCTGGCGTGGTGGCGGGCGCCTGTAATCCCAGCTACTTGGGAGGCTGAGGCAGAGAATTGCTTTGAACCCGGGAGGTGGAGATTGCAGTGAGCCAAGATCGCGCCACTGCACTCCAGCTTGGGCAACAGAACGAGACTCCCATCTCAAAAAAAAAAAAAAAAAAATTCAAACATTACACCAAAATAGAACAGTATTAATAAACTCTAATATACTGGTCACCCAAATTTTGTTTGTTTTTTAACTAAATCGCAAGCCTCAGCCCTTGGCAAATTTTTTGTGGCAGTCCATGGGATATAAATTTATCAAGCTAGGTGTGGTGGCTCATGCCTGTAATCCCAACACTTTAGGAGGCTAAGGTGGGCCGACTGCTTGAGCTCAGGAGTTTAATACCAGCCTGGGGCAACATGGTGAAACTCCGTGTCTACAAAAAATTAGCTAGGCGTGATGGCGTGCACCTATACCTCCTACTCGGGAATCATCTGAGCCGGGGAAGTCAAAGTCATGCCTGGGCGACAGAGTGAGACCCTGTCTTAAAAATAAATAAGTAAATAAATAATCTATCGAGGAAGATCCATCTCTCACAGCATTAACTGCTCCAGTCACTTGGTGCTATCCAAGGACAACCTATTTGGCAATTCTTACTGCCTATTATTTGAGAACTTATTACCCACCAGAAACTAAGTGCTTTGCAAACATTACTATTAATTATAGCAAATATATACTTTGGACTTACCATGTGCAAGTCTTTGCTAAGGGCTTTATGTGCATTATTTCATTTAATCCTATAAGATTGATGATTTGCCAATTTTACAGATGAAAAAACAGACATAGCAGTTAGGGGTTGGTGGTGTTTTGTTTGTTTGGAGACAGAGTCTCTGTCGCCCAAGCTGGAGTGCAGTGGCACAATCAGGGCTCATTGCAGCCTCGACATCCCAGGCTCAAGCAATCCTCCCTCCTCAGCCTCCCTAGTAGCTGGGACTACAGGCGTGTGCCACCACATCGGCTAATTTTTGTATTTTTTGTAGAGACAGAGTTTTGCCATGTAGCCCAGGCTGGTTTTGAACTCCTGGGCTCAAGCCATCCGCCCACCTTGGCCTCTCAAAGTGCTGAGATTACAGGCATGAGCTACCTGCCCTGCCTGTAGTTAGGGTTTGGACACATTCTGCCTGACACCAACATCTATCCTCTCTAACAGCCAGATTACATAGCCTCTTTGTAGTAATAAATGTTGAGTGAATGTGTCAGTGAACACTGCCAGGGTATACATATTTTTCTAATTGTAAACTAAAGAGAGCAATCCACCGTGCCCCAGCACCTGCATCATACCTGTTCTAAAGCATTTACCAAGTTGTATTGCAATGGTTTGTCTACACAGCTAGTTTTCCCTCTAACGACTTCTTCAAGATCAGGGGCTATGTCTTATTCGTTTTTTTATGTCCCCGGGGATTAGCTAGTTCTTGGGAAACAACTGGGACTTGGGATTCAAAACAGTTTGCTAAGTGAATGAATGAGAGGCCCAGTCAAGCTACTTCCCTTCAGTGCTGCACAGTGCAACAAATAACCAGCTCAGATACAGGTTCAAAGACCACAGGCTTCTCCCTGGACAGCTCAGCTCTCCTCATAACTCCTGAGAAACCCTGGACATGCCAGGGTGTACTATGGAGTGGTTGCATCCGGAAGAGGGGGAGGAAGTCCCAAACACTAAGTAATCCAGGTTTGGGTTGGAAAACAAGGTTGAAGTTACTCATTAGCAGGTGAAAGGGTCAAGGGTCGAACGCAAGGGAGCTGAAAGCAGAGTGGACTGAGCAGCCAGTAGGGGAGAGAGCAGTTAAGGCACACAGAGCACCAGCTCCCTCCTGCCTGAAGATGTTCCACCAAATTTGGGCAGCTCTGCTCTACTTCTATGGTATTATCCTTAACTCCATCTACCAGTGCCCTGAGCACAGTCAACTGACAACTCTGGGCGTGGATGGGAAGGAGGTATGGACTGAGATTGGGGGAAGCCTATGGTGGAGGCTCTGAGGGACTTGGGTGGATGGCCTAGGATGACTGGAGACCATCTTGGGAAAGGAAGAGAGGAAGGGGGTGTGAGTGTTGTGATAATGAAAGCAAGAAGAAAAATATCAGTACTGTGGCCATCAATGCAGAGGCATGGCAGAATTGGGGGGTGGGGTGGTTACCCAGGTTGACTGGGGAGGGGCAAAGAGGAAAAGTCATTTAATGACTCTTTGTCATGGATCCAATCCCCAGTTGGAAAGAGGAAGGCAGCCAACACCTCTACCCCTAAATCTTGCTGTTTTGACTGATGAAGAGGTTGAACCCATCCTGTGCTGGAACCCACCCTCTTTTGCTCCCTTCATTGTCTCTCCAGTTCCCAGAGGTCCACTTGGGCCAGTGGTACTTTATCGCAGGGGCAGCTCCCACCAAGGAGGAGTTGGCAACTTTTGACCCTGTGGACAACATTGTCTTCAATATGGCTGCTGGCTCTGCCCCGATGCAGCTCCACCTTCGTGCTACCATCCGCATGTGAGTGGTAAGGAGGCAGAAGCATCACTGGGTTCAGTCTCTGCCCAAAGTGTGAGAATCCACCCACCAAGAGCTGGCCTCTTAGCTGGTATATCTACTATGCTTGGCCCACGGAATTCAGTGGCTGTATTAATTGCCCTCTGGAGAAAGATGTGCCTAACCAATGCTTGGTAGCTTGAAACCCAAGGAGAGCTGGGCTTCAATAACAAATACAATGGAGTAAATAGAAGCCGGGACAGGCCAGACGTGGTGGCTCACGCCTGTAATCCCAGCACTTTGGGAGGCTGAGGCGGACAGATCACGAGGTCAGGAGATCGAGACCATCCTGGCTAACACAGTGAAACCCCGTCTCTACTAAAAATATAAAAAACTAGCTGGGCATGGTGGTGGGCACCTGTAGTCCCAGCTACTCACGAGGTTGAGGCAGGAGAATGGCGTGAACCCGGGAGGCAGAGCTTGCAGTGAGCCGAGATGGCGCCACTGCACTCCAGCCTGGGCAACAGAGTGAGACTCTGTCTCAAAAAAAAAAAAAAGAAGCTGGGACACTATGGTTGGGGTGATGCTCATTCTTTCCTCCTTGCCACCACCACCTCTGCAGGAAAGATGGGCTCTGTGTGCCCCGGAAATGGATCTACCACCTGACTGAAGGGAGCACAGATCTCAGAACTGAAGGTTGGTTCTTCCCAGCCCTCACCCTCCCTTGAGTTTGGTTCTGCATCTCTGTTCTCATACTTCTCCCACCTGCCTTGACAGGCCGCCCTGACATGAAGACTGAGCTCTTTTCCAGCTCATGCCCAGGTGGAATCATGCTGAATGAGACAGGCCAGGGTTACCAGCGCTTTCTCCTCTACAGTGAGTAGGGATACAAGGCAGGAAGGGTTGGAGGGAAACAAGGGAGGGCAGGAGAACTCCTCACTCTGGGTCCTATGACACCCTCCCAGGAAGAGCTAGGTGCTTCCAGGGGTTTTGACTGGCCTGACCCCACCTTGCCCTTCCAGATCGCTCACCACATCCTCCCGAAAAGTGTGTGGAGGAATTCAAGTCCCTGACTTCCTGCCTGGACTCCAAAGCCTTCTTATTGACTCCTAGGAATCAAGGTAAGGGGTTAAAATCTCATAAAACAGGATTAGGACTCACCAAGTCTTCTGGTGTTACAGGGTGAAAGAGGCTCGTGTGATGTCACCAGAGGGATGTGGCTAAGAGCTGTGATGTCACCTGAGGGAGGCAGGATGGGTTCTGGGCTACTCAAAAGAGAGGTTTCTGAGTTTGCACTGGATAAAGGGGGCAGAGGGTCATACGTGGAGGGAAAAGAGCCTTAGAGACTCCCCTTTGACACAGGGAATGAAAGAACACGTTCTCCCCCACCCCATTACTATCAACTTTGCTTTTCTCCCTGGACTTCCCTTCTGTCCTTCTTTTTCCCTCCCCCCATCACAGAGGCCTGTGAGCTGTCCAATAACTGACCTGTAACTTCATCTAAGTCCCCAGATGGGTACAATGGGAGCTGAGTTGTTGGAGGGAGAAGCTGGAGACTTCCAGCTCCAGCTCCCACTCAAGATAATAAAGATAATTTTTCAATCCTCATCTCATTCTGGGGTTTGTCTCCAGACGTCATTCCCACTCCTCCCATTTCAACATTCCCCCTGGATCCTCTACCACCTAAACTCCCAGCTGGACGGTGTCAGTAAGAACAGAGTGGCAGTAACTCTCACTTTGTAGTGGTATATTTAGGATTTGATGTGACACAGTTATTTATTGCTGAGTGAGCAAACCCCTAGCCCCCAAGTGGGGACTACAGGCTTCAGTGCTTCCCCCACACTGCCTGAGCTACCAGCCCTTCTGCACTGGCCCTCCTGCCAATACTGCCTGCACTGTCCCCACTCCCTCTGGCTCCCATGATCACCAGATCCGCCCTGCAGGCTCCCTGTCACCTGTGGGGCCCTATCCAGACCCCCTAATCCACTTGCCTAGCAGCCCCACTCTTCCCTCGATGGCTCAGATCCTGAGATCCAAGGAACACCCTGGGTTTCCCAACCACTCTCTTACTGCAGAGGTCTGTCTATCCTGCCCTGGTCTCCTCCACCCCAGGAGAGTTTTCAAAGGTAGAGAGGACCCTTTGGTCTTTATTCACCACCATCATACTTTTTTTTTTTTTTGCTTTTAAAAAGTGGAGGTGGAAAAAAAAAAAAAACTGAAGGTGGGAGAAAAGTAAAAGCAAAAATAACAGCTGGTGAATCCAAGAGCAGTGCCCTCACTGTCCATAAACACAAACACCCTAAATAGTTCTGTTCTCTCCTGTGTATGAAGGGGGGCCCTGCACCCTCGTACTCGGGTTTCTTCCCCATCCCTGAGGTCCCTATGCTTACAATTTGGGTCATGCCTCACACTTTTCTCCTAAAGCCCACACTCTCTTCACCCTTTGCCCCCACCCCACGGTCACAGCCCCTTTCCCGGGTCTCCCCTCTGCTCCTCACCTTCCCTCTCCAACCCCTCACTCTCCCAGTCAGTGGCCGCCTCATCCCCATTGGGCTCCCGGAGGCTGACAGCCAGCACCAAGGCCTGCAGGAGACCAAAGAGGCAGGCGAAGTGCAAAGGGTGGGCAGTAAGTAGGCTCAGAACAGCATGGAGCCCATGCAGGGCAGCCAGGAAGGACAGTAGGCCATGTAGCCAGAGGCCCAGCGGTCCACGCAGGCCCAGTGTGTCCAAGGCTGCCCGCAGTGGTCGTGAGCACAGGGCCAGCAGGGCAGAGGCCAGCAGCTCCAGAAGATGCAGGGTCAGGTTGGTGGAGATCTGCAGACACTCTTCTGGGCCCCCCAAGTACCGGGAGGGAGCTCCTGGTTCCCCCCGCAGCCAGCCCAACAGCTTCTCACGCCTACCAGGTTTCTCCAATGGGGCTCCTGGCCCAGGGACGCTCAGTCCCCCTTCAGGGGACACCCCTGGTCTCCTGGTGCCACCTGAATCCACATGATCCCATCTGAGTTTGGGACTGGCCCCTCCAGCCTCCAGTCTCCCAGACTCTTGAGTGCTAGAGATAGGCTGGTCCCACTTGAGGGAATCCATTCTTTTGCTCCCTAGCTGCTCAACTTGGGGCTCCTCCTTGCTTGGTTCGGAAGCAGCCCTAGAAACCCTCAATGCCCCCGAGTCCTTAGTCTTGGGATGCCCCACATCTTCCATGGTTTCTGGGGCACTATCCCAGTCACTTCCTGAATTCTCCGAGGAGCTGTCCACCCGTCTGGGTTCTGGGTAAGGCGGGTCAGGCCTCATTGGTTTCCGGCGGCCCCAAGGGCGAGGTAGCCAGCCACCAAGCCGTCGCAGGAACATGGCTGGGGTGTGTAATGGGCCCCCAAATTCTGAGGCTGCTTCCTGGCACTACTCAGACTCTCAGGATCTCCTCAGAAGCCAGAGTCTTTCTGGCTCAGAACAGGTATTTGCCTGGTGATGCAGTCCTACTCTGAATTCAGAAGTGGCTCCTCCCTTCTCTGAATAGTCATGCAGCCTCAAGTGTGGCAAGTAGTTTGCTTCCTCTTCAGTTCTGGGGTAAAGGGGGGCATACCCAAATTCATTCACCATCCACACCCCCACAATCTGAGATTCCAAGAATCTCAGATCTGACAAGGCCTGGGTCACCACCAGAGAGTCCTCTCTGCGTTTCCGGATTTCCTTCCCAGCAGGCAGCACCCCAAGTTTCACTCACCAAGGCCACACCCCAAGGTGTCCCAGAAACTGGGGAGGCAGTGCTCCATCCAATAAAGCGGGCAGGAAGGTGGCCCCAGGTCCTAGGTGCTCCTGGATCGTGTAGTCTTTAACTGCTGCCCCAAGGGACCTCAAGGAATAGGAATTCTCTTTGTTAGGAGGTGGAATGAAAGTGTCCAGCAAACTCCAGCCAGCAGCGTTCGTCCCTTGATTTAGAGGGCTATGATTTCTACAAAGTGGCCCGACTGGCCCGCGAACACGCAGCAGAGACGCGGCCTCCACAAGGTCAGAACTAAGATGTCCTCAGAGATCCCCAGTTACGAAGCAAAGCGCGGGCCTACTTCGGGACCTACGCGTCCGGGCGCTGTGCGCGGGGACCGCTCCCGGGCCCAGCGTCGGGGCCGCGGCCTTGGGGAGCCGCCGGGAGCCGCGAAGCCCGGAAGCAGCTGCACCAGGACTGGAAGGACCCGCGGGGGCGGTGCCGCAGCTCATGGGGCGGACCCTGCGAATAGACCGCCCCCGTATACCCCGCGCTGTCTGTGCGCGCCGGACCGCCAAACCGAGATTAGCAAGGACCAGGACCTTAATATAAACCCAGCTCCCCATTTTCCCGGGTTTCTCATGCTTCCCTAAACTCGGTCGCCCCCTACAGCCCCCTGCCCCTGGGTTCTTTTCCACATCCCCCACCACTCCTCCATTTCGCATCCAAGACTTCATGAAAGGCTTTCCCAGAAAAGAAAAAATGAGGAGTCTTGCGACTTGAACAGCCCTCCCCTGCCCGTCTGCAAATTTGAATTCCTGGATTTCACAACAGTGAGCTCTTCTTGTGCCTACCACCCGGCATGAGCAAGACAAGGGGGTGGGTGGTGGGAGAGTGGGGAAGTGTGGGAAAGAAAAGTGTAGACAAATGGGTGGAACAAAGAAGTTTGACTTAAAGTTTAGATTTGGGGGCTAGAGTTCTGGTCCCAGTTCAACTAAGTGTACAAGCTTGATAATCGTGGGCCCTCCTATCACACTGGCCTCTTCCAGCAAAACCCTACCCATTCTCATCTCTAGAGGCCTTGACTTCCCTTATCACCCTGCATTATAATATTTGATAACATGGGCCGGGAGTGGTGGCTCATGCCTGCAACCCCAGCACTTTGGGAAGCCGAGGCCGGCGGATCACCTGAGGTCGGGAGTTCAAGACCAGCTTGGCCAACATGGAGAAACCCCGTCTCTACTAAAAATACAAAATTAGCTGGGCGTGGTGGGGCATGCCTGTAATCCCAGCTACTGGGGAGGCTGAGGCAGGAGAATCCCTTGAACTCGGGGGGCAGAGGTTGTGGTGAGCCGAGATCATGCCATTGCACTCCAGCCTGGGCAATGAGAGCGAAACTGCATCTCAAAAAAAAAAAGAAAAAAATTGATAACATGGCACTTTCCCTCTCCAGCTGTGAACTCTTTGAGGGTTGGGAATGTCTTTACCTGTATTCTTGGCACATAGTATATGGACTTATGTTTGTGAATCAGTGAATTGGCTGTAGTCAGGGAACTCCTCCTGGGGGAAGTGAGACTTGCACGAAGCTGGGCAATTCTTGGTCCAGGGGGGTTGAAAGAATAGGTGGGGGACTCCCAGGAGGGTCTGGGACCTGAAAGTGAACCCAGATTGGCAGGGAGGTGACCTTATCATGCCACCTGGAGAGGCTGCCCCTTCTGACTCAGGTGGGACTTGCATGTGGCTCCCAGGCTTCTGTTTGGCTTCCTCAAAATAGCTTCCAGAAAAGTGAATAAACCACAAATGGTTGATTTATTTCTGACTCTCAGCCCGTCTCTCACGAAGACAGAGCCTATTGACCAAAAACTTCAGGATCTGCATCTGGGCAGATCCCAGGAAGGGGAAGTCAAAGGGCCCAGGTCAGAGGCCCAAGTTCAGACTTCAGCAGCAGACTAGGGTCAGACTTTACCAAAGTCAGAACTCGAGGTTCATGTAAGTCCTTAGATCCCGCTCCCAAGCCCTGTCTTTCTCCTCCCTCCTTCTCTCCTCCCTCCAGCTCAGTGTGGCCACCCGAGGGGGTCTCTCCCTCCCAGCCACAGCTCGGGTATCCCAAGCTGGGAAATGTGTCACTCGGGGCTGGGGTGCTGATCTGTAGCCTAGTCCTTCCTGGTCTCTCTTGAGGACAGTGGGGATGGGATTGGCACGGCCCTCACCCCGGGGTCCCAGCCCCATTCCTGGCTCCCAGCCCCCCCTCAGCAGCAGTTTGAAGCCCGGGCTGGAGATGGGCACCCCAAGTGGAAGGTTGGGAGGCTGAGGACCCTGCGACAGTGACAGCAGGTGAGCAGTGGATGTGCGGTGGTTGGAATCTTGGAAGTGGGTGTCACAGTTCTCGCAGTACTGGAGGGAGGGAGTAGGAGACCTGCAGAGAAAGAAGAAAAAGCATTAAGGGCAGGGGAAGGAAAAGGGGAAGAGTTGAGGCCTCAGAGGGGGCTGGCAGGGTAGAATAGGATCTTTTCAGCTTTTCTGCTAAGGAACAAATTGCCAGCTAGGCATAGTGGCTCACGCCTGTAATCCCAACACTTTGGGAGGCAGAGGCGGGCAGATGGCTTTGAGCTCAGGAGTTTGAGACCAGCCTGGGCAAAATGGCAACGCCTGCTTTTTTTTTTTTTTTTTTTTGAGATGGAGTCTTGCTCTGCTGCCCAGGTTGGAGTGCAGTGCCATGATCCTGGCTCACTGCAACTTCCACCTTAGCGATTCTCCTGCCTCAGCCTCCCAAGTAGCCGGGATTACAGGCACATGCCACCATGTCCCGGCAAAGCCTGCTTTCTACAAAAAATATGCTTGAGCCCAGGAAGCGGAGGTTGCAGTGAGCTGAAATCACACCATTGCACACCAGCCTGAGCGACAGAGTGAGATGAGTGAGACTTTGTCTCAAAAAAAAAAAAAAAAAAAAAAAGGGACAAATTGCCTTCCTTCCTACTTAACAGTGAGGGATCCAGGCTGGTCCAAAGGTGGTGGTGAGTTATCTGAATTAATTGTTCACTCAGTTACAGATCAAACTCCTTACTCCACTTTTCCCCTCCTTCTCACTACTGCACTTGACTTGTCTTAAAAACAAATTTCTTTAAACCATTGTGGGATCCAGAGCAGAATAGTTGAAAGAAAAAAATGGTAACCAGACCTAGCAAACTCTTGGGCAAGGGGAGGGACATTAGTCATAATGACTATAGCTAACATTCATGTATTGCATACTATGCGGCATGCACTATTCTAGCATTTTACATATATTAACCCATTGAATCCTAACAACAATTCTTACTACCCCCATTTCTAAGATGAGAAAACTGGAACATGTAGACATTAGGTTGTTTGCCCAAGTAAGTGGAATCAGGCTTTAAATCCAGGGAGCTCATGTTTATAACCACTTGACTATACTACCCTGTCAACCTACACATGAGGATAAGGAAAGAACTCTTCAGCACTGTGCTGGGGCGTCTGGTGTGGTGTGGCTGGGAGAGGCAGAACACAATGAGACATGGGTCTGAGCTAAAGTTTCCCCTTACCGGTTTTCCGGGCTCCTTGTCTCTCCATGGCTCTCCCTGACCATGCGGGCTACCTCAGGGAAGCCAGCTTCTTCAGCGAGCTGAGCCGCATCCCTGCCACTCAGCTCACAGACCCCCACCCAGGCAGCCCCACGGCCCAGGAGATAGCTCACAGCTGCCCCCTGGCCCGCTCGAGCAGCACACATCAGTGGGGTCCACCAGAAGGCATCCCGGGCGTTGATATTCCCCCCAGCTCCTCCTGCCTCATGCGGTTCCAGCAGTCTCCTAAGTTCTGGCAGGTCCCCCTCCTGGGCTGCCCTCAGTATCCGGTGAGTCATCTTATCCTCAGCCTCAAGGGATCTCCCTTGTCCATGTCTTCCTGATGCTCCTTCTGCCACTGCTTCTGCTGCTGGTGCCTTCATTATTCTTCTTTTCTTTCTCTTTCTTTCTCTGGCAGGTTCAGTCTGAGATCTCTGGGAGTCAGGAGCGCTGCTCTCATCCCCAATCAGGGCCTCATAGAAAGCTAGGGCTGCAGCCCCATCCAGGGTGGACTCTGGCTTCTCGGGCTGTGGCTGCTGCTGCCCATCCTTCCAGAGGTCGCTGGGGTCAGTGGCTGGGGTGAAGGTGATGAGCAAGGGCCGGGACATGGCTTTTGGGAGAACTGAGAAAATGATACCAGGCAAGGGAAGGATGAGACAAGTAAGCCAAGCTCGTGGTGACCCTGTAGCAACCACAGCCTCAGAGACCTGCTGGGATGAGAAAAAGTAGTCAAAAACACTTTCCTGCCACTAAAGTAACCCCACAACTTAGGACTCTGCAGGGCCTAAGGGAGAGAGACTTTGCGTAAAAACATGGAACCCTACAATACCGACTTTGCTCCTTAGTAAAGATTAATAAAACTCCATGAGACTGTTGTCCAGAGGTCCTGCGTCCGGCCCCCACCCCCATCCTCACCAACAATAAACACCAGCCTCTTTCTGAAACCACTTTCCCACCCCGTAAGACATACCAGTAGGAAAAAAAAATCAGCCTGGCCCTTTAAGTCTTCCGCGATCCCATTTCGGAGTTTCCTCTTCCCAAACAAAAATAGATGGGTCACTCCCTAGAAGATCTCGGGGAGAGTCTCCTATACGTGTTGCTGTGTAGCTTCCGTACCGCAAAATGGCGCCATTCTAATCAGAAGAGTTGACACAATCAAATAGCCACACGGCACGAAGACGCATGCGTGGCGACAACAACAACAAAAACCACAACCCACATTACTTGAGGGCTCGGGCGTGCGCAAAGCTCCGGGTTCAGTTTCCCGCGCTGGAACTTTTTCAATAGTAAACGAGCAAAGCTCCGCGCGCCCAGGTGGCGCGAGCACTAGGATCTGTCGGTTGGGGTCCTACTTTTACATAACGCCCCCACAATGCCCTTCGCCTTCCTCAACGTGGCCCCCGCTCCAAGCCCATTTTCTGGAGCCAGGAATCCACTCTGTGGGTTAGGAAAGGCCCTCAGGAGGCGGAGGGAAACCTGTGGAATGCCGAGAAGCCGTGTAATGAAATAACGTCACGCCTGCCCCTCACCATTACTCTGACCAGGGTTCGAAGGTCACACTTAGAGCCTAAGGGGAAATGGAGAAGTGCAAAGGGACGAGCAGAATGGCTGGCACCACCTCAGGTTAGCGCACTGGGACGTTCCAGTTCTCACACCGCCCACCCCACCCCACCCAAGTCCCTACGCACGGAGCCAAGCCGCACCTCTCCCCTCATGAGGCAGGAGCCCGGAGGAAACAGTATGCCCGTCAAGGGTCTCTGGCGGGACTGATTCGCACTAGGGGCCCAACAGGCAATAAGGACCCAGCGGATTGGCCGAGGATAGGCCAGTCCCCTGGGCAGCAGCGCCTCGCCGGGACTAGAGGGGAACGTGAGGAGAGCTGCGGAAAGAGATCCAGCCTGGCTCCCTCCTTTCCCCGCCCTAAGTCAGCCTCTTCACCCAGTGAGCACAAAACTGTATTGCCCAGACTCCCGGGCCCCGAACGCCATACCTGGCTTCCGCTTCCGGTGGCTTCTCGTTGTGCCCCGCCCGCAAGCGCCCTCCTCCGGGCCTTCGTGACAGCCAGGTCGTGCGCGGGTCATCCTGGGATTGGTAGTTCGCTTTCTCTCATTTAGCCAGTTTCTTTCTCTACCGGGGACTCCGTGTCCCGGCATCCACCGCGGCACCTGACCCTTGGCGCTTGCGTGTTGCCCTCTTCCCCACCCTCCCTAATTTCCACTCCCCCCACCCCACTTCGCCTGCCGCGGTCGGGTCCGCGGCCTGCGCTGTAGCGGTCGCCGCCGTTCCCTGGAAGTAGCAACTTCCCTACCCCACCCCAGTCCTGGTCCCCGTCCAGCCGGTGAGTCTGAAGTCGTCGCTGCTCCGAGTCCCTTGTCGCTGGGAGCGGCACATGGGGTCTCCGGACTTTGATGTGGGGGCGGGGGAGGAAGCGACCAGGTCCGGCACGAAGGAGGGAGAGGTGGCCTGAGGAGCGGAGGGGGGATGTGTGGATTCCGGTGAAAGGGACCTGACAATCGCCCCCAACCCGTGAGAAAAGGAGGAGCCCGGTTCTTGCTTGAGAATGATAAACTTGGAAACCCTTGGGAAAGGCGTGGGGGTCATGCAGAGACTTGTATTGGTAGGGAGCCTGAGTCGAGGTCCCTGCCGGAGTTGACACAGAGGAGAGAGGGCCCTGGCCTTCGGGAGCTCCAGGGATGTGGGTCGGGCTGGTGGGTCAAAGTATCTGTTGGCTTCTTTCAAGTGGTGGGACCCCAAAGAATGTTTAACTTCAAAGAAAAGGGGCTGAGATGTAAATTAGAGGAGCTGGAGAGGAGTGCTTCAGAGTTTGGGTTGCTTTAAGAAAGGGTGGTTCCGAATTCTCCCGTGGTTGGAGGGCCGAATGTGGGAGGAGGGAGGATACCAGAGGCAGGGAAGGAGAACTTGCGCTTTACTGACACTGTTCTTTTTCTAGCTGACGTGAAGATGAGCAGCTCAGAGGAGGTGTCCTGGATTTCCTGGTTCTGTGGGCTCCGTGGCAATGAATTCTTCTGTGAAGTGAGTTCTCTTCAACCTCCCTACTTGCCAGCTTCACATATCTTCCCACCAGACGTTCCTTCACATATTCCACTTCTACACTGTTCTCTTACATGCTATTTGAAAACTTCCTATCAGCAAAGAGTCCCCCCTATAAACCCCGACGAACCTGTGCTAAAGTGGCAAAACTGGGGCCCAAGTCCTGAGTCTGCCACCGTCCAGCAATATAACGTTGGGCTAGTCAATTTGTGTCTTTTTCTTTTTTTTGAGACTGGGTCTCACTCTGTCACCGAGGCTGGAGGGTAGTGGTGCGATCTCGGCTTACTGCCACCTCTGCCTCCCAGGTTCAAGCGATTCTCCTGCTCCAGCCTCCCAAGTAGCTGGGATTACAAGTGCCTGCCACCATGCCTGGCTAATTTTTGTATTTTTAGTAGAGACAGGGTTTCACTATGTTGGCCAGGCTGGTCTCGAACTCCAGACCTCAGGTGATCTGCCTGCCTCGGCCTCCCAAAGTGCTGGGATTACAGGCGTGAGCCATTGCGCCCGGCCTGTATCTTTTGTTACTAAAGTGGCACTGCTAGTACTTGTCTCAGGTGGCCTTTAGGAAAACTGAAATGCTACACATTGAAATGTTTTGTTCAGAAACCATGCTGTTCAGCTTCCACCTTCCTTAGCCAGCTGAGAGGACAAAACTGGTTCCTAGAGACGGGATACAGGAGTGGAGTAGGGACAAAGATCTTGAAAAGAATGTCTAAGAAAAAGATTGCTGTATCTACTTATCCTTAGAAAAGAAAAGCCAAAGCTTTTATGGGAGAGAGTGTAGGTGAACTAGGGAGAGACACAAGTACTTCTGCTGAGT
Source organism: Homo sapiens (assembly GCF_000001405.40). Classification (NCBI taxonomy): domain Eukaryota; kingdom Metazoa; phylum Chordata; class Mammalia; order Primates; family Hominidae; genus Homo; species Homo sapiens. The sequence goes on from NT_167249.2 coordinate 2,967,026, forward strand.
TGGGAGTGAGAAACAAGCACAACAGATGCAGTTGTGTTGATGATAAGGCATCACTTAGAGCATTTTGCCCAGGTCAAAGATGAGGATTTTGATATGGGTTCCCTCTTGGCTTCCATGTCCTGACAGGTGGATGAAGACTACATCCAGGACAAATTTAATCTTACTGGACTCAATGAGCAGGTCCCTCACTATCGACAAGCTCTAGACATGATCTTGGACCTGGAGCCTGGTGAGGCACCCTCAGGGTTGTTTTGTGTGTGTGCGTGCACTATTTTTCTCTTCAAATCTCTATTCACTTGCCTGAATTTTGAAATTTCCTTTGGTTCTCTGATTTCTTTAACCCCAAATTCATGCTTTATTTTGATCCTCCACCTGACTCTTGTCTAGTTTTGTGACGTATATCACTTGTTCTCATGTTTTCTAAATCCGCAATTCAGACCTATTCCAAAATGCGTTTCCTCATGGGTCTGGTTTGTTGTCTGTTTCTCCTGCTTTGCACCTTCCAGTCTAGAGTTTCATCTTCTGCATTGACATTGTTGCAGTTATGTATTGAGGAGGGAGTTGGGAGGGAGAGCAAGGAGCAGAGGCTGAAAAGGTGTGAAGGGAAGGCAGAGCTGTCTTCGTTTGATGCAAGGGTCAGAAGCCCAGGTTTCTGGGTCCCATGCCCAGATGTTGGATGGGGTAAGGCCCAAAAGTAGGTGCTAGGCAAACTGAATAGCCCGCAGCCCCTGGATATGGGCAGGGCACCTAGGAAAGCTGAAAAACAAGTAGTTGCATTTGGCCGGGCTGTGTTTCAGATGAAGAACTGGAAGACAACCCCAACCAGAGTGACCTGATTGAGCAGGCAGCCGAGATGCTTTATGGATTGATCCACGCCCGCTACATCCTTACCAACCGTGGCATCGCCCAGATGGTGAGGCCTCTCTGCTCCTACCTGCCTCCTTCTGAGCAGTAAGAGACACAGGTTCCTGCAGCAAGAAGTCATGTTTAAGCCCTGTTTAAGGAAGCTAGCTGAGAAGAGGGGAAGAACCCCAGAACTTGGGCCTGGGAATTGAATTCTGATTGGGGGTCATCCTGAAGGGATTGTTTTCAGGGAGGGAGACAGACCTTGAATCAGAGAGTTGTGATAGACTGCCTCTTCCTCAAGGAACAAACAACAAATGGCTCTGATGGTTTGTAGCCTGCCTAATTGGAAGAAAGGCAACACAGAAGTTTGAGAGCCCATCTAGTCCAGAGAAGGGGCCTCTGGACAGAGGTGGGAGGAGTGGGGGACAGAGTGGTATGGGTTGGGCTGCGAAGGGAGTTGCCTCTTCTTTACATCTACCTGCCAACCCCTTCCATTGTATTCACCTCAGTTGGAAAAGTACCAGCAAGGAGACTTTGGTTACTGTCCTCGTGTGTACTGTGAGAACCAGCCAATGCTTCCCATTGGTGAGTGTTGAAGAAGGGAAAGGAAAGCACCGTGTGGCAGTCTTATGGGAAGGAGTTGGGGCTCAACACATTGGAGCCTGAGTCCTGAGGGGAGGTTAGGTAGGAATAGGGGGATACCTGGCCTGCTGAGTCTGGCTGTCTCCCAGGCCTTTCAGACATCCCAGGTGAAGCCATGGTGAAGCTCTACTGCCCCAAGTGCATGGATGTGTACACACCCAAGTCATCAAGACACCATCACACGGATGGCGCCTACTTCGGCACTGGTTTCCCTCACATGCTCTTCATGGTGCATCCCGAGTACCGGCCCAAGAGACCTGCCAACCAGTTTGTGCCCAGGTAGGGAGCAGGGAGAGTCATTAAGGGTCAAAGGAAAGGCCCAAGATCCCCCAGAGAGGGGAGGACAGGGCATGGCCCTTTCTTGAGGTCTGCTTCTCCCAGAATCAGGGCATCTCCCTGCTGAGTGACTGTGGGAAAGTTATTTGATTATCTGTGCTTGAGTTACCTTATTGTAGAATGTTCTTGAGCTGAGAAGTTGGGAACCACGAGGCTTTAGCTCTGAGCAGGTCCATAGAGGAGCTCAGGTGGGGAGGTGGGAATGCAGGTGACTGGCAGGGCCTGGATGGGGCTCATGCTGCTGCCTCTCTGACCTCTGCCCTGGCCTAGGCTCTACGGTTTCAAGATCCATCCGATGGCCTACCAGCTGCAGCTCCAAGCCGCCAGCAACTTCAAGAGCCCAGTCAAGACGATTCGCTGATTCCCTCCCCCACCTGTCCTGCAGTCTTTGACTTTTCCTTTCTTTTTTGCCACCCTTTCAGGAACCCTGTATGGTTTTTAGTTTAAATTAAAGGAGTCGTTATTGTGGTGGGAATATGAAATAAAGTAGAAGAAAAGGCCATGAGCTAGTCTGCTGGTGCTTGCTGTTGGGGAAGGGAAGGTGATGGTGTGTTGGACTCCAGGGGCCCTCATGGCCCAGCCCACCCTCCCCAGATTGAAAACCAGGACAGATTTGTGCTCAGTGGATTGGGTGGTGTTTTTAGTATGGAGCAGAACAGAATTCCTAGGACTGCGTGTGATGAAATGCAAGGTCAAAAGGAAAAGACAAAGCATATTTCAAAGATGAGAAATATTTGTTTGGATATCTATGACTGTCTGTTTATACTGTAAGGGGCTTAATCAGCAGCTCCATCTTTTAGTTTTAGTTCTAAAGGAAAAGTAGCCTAAAGTCAGTATAACTAAAGGGTGGAACGAGGTGGGACAAGGTCCGGAATTGCTGCTCAGTGATGTGTGTGTGCCTGCCGCTGGTGGAGCTGAGACTGCTCATCTCAGAAGGATGGGGATGCTTGATTTCCTGGCCAGGTTGTCCCAGCACAGTGGGGATTGGCCCTGTTGTATGACGAAGACAGCACATGGTGGCAGAGATAGATACTAACCCATGGACTTTCCAAGGGAGGGAATAGGTCTTTGGAGGGTATGCAAGACAAAGGTAGACACTGGATAAAGAACCCGGTAGTGCCCAGGTATTACCCCATCTGGGCCATTACTCCCACACTCAGGAACCAGACGTTGTGGGTGAGGACATGCTGTCCCTCCTGCCAAGTAATAACTTCCTTCCCAGCCAGGATCCTGCCCCAAGTAGGAATATAGCTCTGCATTTACAGCAGCTCCTGCTCAGACCTTGTCAAAACCACCCTGCAGCTTAGGATTAAGGAGCATGGTCACAGGAAGGTGGGGTTTCAGGGCATCCCCTCAGGAACTGCCCATCTCCCCAGAATTCCAAAATGAAGGTCCATATGCTTGTAGGTGTGCTGGTCATGGTGGGCTTCACAGTAGGAAAGGGTAAGTGGGGCCCAGGGGCAGGGAGGGAGGAAGGGGTAACTGAGTCCAGGAAGGGGGTGGAGCGTGGCCATGGATAATCGGGCTTCCTACTGGCCCAGGGTATTTGAGAGTGACCCAGTGCCTCCATCCCTCCTTCTGCCTCCCCAGTTCCTGTTCCCGACATCCGGACGTGCCACTTCTGCCTCGTAGAAGACCCTTCTGTAGGATGCATTTCAGGCTCAGAGAAGTGTACCATCAGCAGCTCATCCCTGTGCATGGTGATCACCATCTATTATGGTAAATAAGGTCCCAGGAAGGGGCTGCTGGTGGGGCAGCCAATGGCTTGGTCTTCTCTCCTCTCACAAATCAGGGCTGCTCCGGGCATGGGGTACAAGAAGAGAGGAGGGGCTGAGTGCAATGGCTCATGCCTGTAACCCTAGCACTTTGGGAGGCTGAGGCAGGTGGATCACTTAAGCTCTAGAGTTCAAGACCAGCCTAGGCAACATAGTGAGACCCTGTCTCTACAAAAAAATAGCCAGGCATGGTGGTATGCACCTGTAGTCCCAGCTACTCGGGAGGCTGAGGTGGGAGATCTCTTAAACTCAGGAGGCATAGGTTGCAGTGAGCCAAGATTGCGCCACCATGCTCCAGCCTGGGTAACAGAGCTAGACCCTGTCTCAAAAAAAACCAGAAGAATCTTGGAAGGAGGGGTCTAAGGTTCTAGGGGGCCAGCAGAGCTCACTTTTCTAGCCTCTTGAAGGACTCTGGGTTAGAAGTAAATTAGGTCTGGGTGAAGGATGGGAAAAGTCAGTAGCAGGGGTTCTTGGACTATGGGAAGCTATTGGAAGGGGTTATCAGCTTTCCCCTCTCCCTCAGATGTCAAGGTTCGCTTCATCGTTCGAGGCTGTGGACAGTACATTTCCTACCGCTGCCAAGAAAAACGCAACACCTACTTTGCAGAGTACTGGTATCAGGCCCAGTGCTGTCAGTACGATTATTGCAACTCCTGGTCAAGCCCCCAACTCCAGAGCTCTCTGCCGGAGCCCCATGACAGGCCCCTGGCCCTGCCTCTGTCTGACTCCCAGATTCAGTGGTTCTACCAGGCCCTGAACCTCTCCCTGCCCCTCCCCAATTTCCATGCTGGGACGGAGCCTGATGGCCTGGACCCCATGGTCACACTGTCCCTGAACCTGGGCTTGTCTTTTGCTGAGCTGTGCCGCATGTACTTGTTCCTCAATAGTTCAGGACTTTTGGTTCTTCCCCAGGCTGGACTCTTGACACCTCACCCTTCCTGAATTCCACAGTGCAAATATCTTTCTGTAACACCCTCAGCATCCTGCACTGCCCTCTCTGAAAACACCCACATTCTTTGGTCACTGTGATTTCTTAGGCCTCCGTCTGTTGTACCACTAGCATCTATATGACTTTTGTGTAATTTTCTCTCTTGAACTCTGGTGCTGTTTTTTTGTTTGTTTGAGACAAAGTCTCGCTCTGTCACCCAGGGTGGAGTGCAGTGGCATGATCTCTGCTCACTACAACCTCCACCTCCCGGGTTCCAGCGATTCTCCTGCCTCAGCCTCCCGAGTAGCTGGGACTACAGGCGTGCACCACCACGCCTGGCTAATTTTTTGTATTTTTAGTAGAGACGGGGTTTCACCATGTTGGTCAGGCTGGTCTCGAACTCCTGACCTCGTAATCTGCCCTCCTCGACCTCCCAAAGTGCCGGGATTACAGGTGTGAGCCACTGTGCCTGGCTGAGCTCTGGTGCTGTTCTTCCCCCTAGAAAAGAATCTCTAGTGTGGATTCTGCCCAGACAGGCTGACCTGAGAAAGGCACAGTGGTTCCTCCATTCCTTCCCCATCATCTGAGTGTTCCAGTATCCCCCATCCCTCTCAATCCAGTCACCTGCCTATTGACATCTAGCTCTGTTTCCCCTGTCTTGTCCATGTCTCTAAGACCCAGTACCAGACTGAACTAGCAGCAAGAAGGACGAGGAGGCCGGGCATGGTGGCTCACGCCGGTAATCCCAGCACTTTGGGAGGCCGAGGTGGGCGGATCACTTGAGATTGGGAGTTTGAGACCAGCCTGGCCAACATGGTAAAACCCGCTCTCTATTAAAAATAGAAAAATCAGCTGGGTGTGGTGGCACACCTCTGTAATCCCAGCTACTCAGGAGGCTGAGACAGGAGAATCACTTGAACCCGGGAGGCAGAGGTTGCAGTGAGCCGAGATCGCGCCACTGCACTCCAGCCTGGGTGACACAGTGAGACTCCGTCTCCAAAAAAAAGGATGAGGAATAGAATTCTGTGCAGATGTCCTGACTTGGCAATTTTGTGTCCCTGCCTCACTGTCTCCACCAACCCCCGCCTGTCCTAGTGTTGTTCTGCCTCCTGTCCTCTCTTGCTCTCTTGTCAGTCTCTGGCTTCCTCGGCCCCATTTCACTTCACTGAGTCCTGACACCCATCTCCCTAGGGGCCTGTGAGAGGAGAGGGAAGGGTCTGTTCTGCTCAGCTCCATGTCCCCCATTTTCCTCCACAATAAACTGGGACTGGGCTAAAACTGTGTCACATTGTTTGTGGGGTCAGGCTCAGGTGTGGGCAGGTAAACACAGATTAAAGAGGGTTAATGCCTGGCGCAGTGGCTCACGCCTGTAATCCCAGCACTTTGGGAGGCTGAGGCAGGCGGATCACCTGAGATTGGGAGTTTGAGACCAGCCTGACCAATATGGAGAAACCCCATCGCTACTAAAAATACAAAATTAGCCGGGCTTGGTAGCGCATACCTGTAATTACAGCTACTCGGGAGGCTGAGGCCGGAGAATCACTTGAACCTGGAAGGTGGAGGTGGCGATGAGCCGAGATTGCACCATTGCACTCCAGCCTGGGCAACAAGAGTGAAACTGTGTCTCAAAAAAAAAAAAAAAAAAAAAGGGTTAGTGAGGTTTGGGATCCAAATAGGATTGCAGAGCCCTCTCCATTGCACTTGGCGTTTGTCGCTTCCTCTCGGCCTCCTGTAAAGGGCACACATCCCTCCCCACCCTCTGCTTAGCTGGAGATCAAAGCATGGGGACTGTGATTCTTCCCAGCCTTAAACATACCCTACAAAACCTGGAAAGTTAGACCCTGATGATGCCAGGTCTTTTCACCTAAGAAAAGAAACTTTAGGCCAGGTGCGGTGGCTCATGCTTGTAATCCCTGAACTTTGGGAGGCCGAGGTGGGTGGATCACCTGAGGTCGGGTTTGAGACCAGCCTGACCAACATGGTGAAATCTTGTCTCTACTAAATATGAAAAATTAGCTGGGCATGGTGGCTCATGCTTGTAATCCCAGCTACTTGGGAGGCTGAGGCAGGAGAATTGCTTGAACCGGGGAGGTGTAGGTTGCAGTGAGCTGAGATCACGCCATTGCACTCCAGACAGGGCAACAAGAGCGAAACTCTGTCTTAAAAAAAAAAAAAAAAGCCTGGGCGCGGTGGCTTGCCTGTAATCCCAGCACTTTGGGAGGCCGAAGCAGGCGGATCATGAGGTCAGGAGTTCGACACCAGCCTGACCAACATGGTGAAAGCCCATCTCTACTAAAAAAAAAAAAAAAAAAATTAGTTGGGCATGGTGGCACGTGTCTGTGATCCCAGCTACTCAGGAGGCTGAGGCAGGAGAATCGCTTGAACCTGGGAGGCAGAGTTTGCAGTGAGCCGAGATCGTGCCACTGTACTCCAGCCTGGGTGACAGACCGAGACTGTCTCCAAAAAAAAAAAAAAGAAACTTTCTCTTTAAACCAGAAAGACTCAGGAACTCAGAGCCACATGCCAGAGTTACCTGCTGCTGGGGCCCTGGACTCCTGCCATTCCTTAGTTCTTTTCAAGGATTCTGGCATCCAGGATGCCCTCTCGAGGGGCCCAATTTGAGGGGCAAAGTGCTGAGAGCACTGATGTTGGGCTGCAGTGGTTGGATCTTCATGCTAATATTTTAATTTTGAAATAGTGCAAACGTATAGAAAGCAAGGATGGATACAACAGCCTTTTCCATACACTGGATAAACATGCTGGACATAACGCTGCTCTGAGTCAGGCTTGGTATTGAGCAGCAGGACTCCCAGATGAGTATAGCCAGGTGTCTGCCCTTCCAAGTCTTGCAGCCCAGTGCTTGGGTTATGAAACCTTTTTCTGAAAAGCAGTGCAGCTTTGTGGCTGGGAGGTCCAATCCCAGCCCCTCTACCACTTGGATATGTCAGTCTCTTCAGCCCCACCTTGGTCACCTGTCAAGTAGGGATAGTGCCTCAGATGATTGAGAAAACACATGTAAATGTGCATACACAAGTAGAAGTTAAGGCCTTTTCCCCCTCAAAAAAATATATTTGCCCTAGAGTCAAATGCATACACAATGTTCAGCTTTTTTTTCTAAGGTTCTTACTATGTTGCCCAAGCTGGCCTTGAACTCCTGGGCTCAAGAGATTCTTCTGCCTCAGCCTCCAAGTAGCTGGGACTACAGTTGCACACCACCATGCTCACCTGGCTGATTTACTTATTTTCAAACCTTTTTGGTAAAACATTCAGAAGCTTGCACATATCACAAGATGGATTTTTGTAAACCACACATCTGTGTAACCAGCCACCAAATCAGCGTGAAGACCTTTACCCGCAGCCAAGCCTGCCTCTGTTCCCCTCTCCCAGGTGCTCTTCCCAGCTCTGGGGTAGCCGCTGTCCTGACTGGTAGTAGCTTAGATGAGTTCTGTCTGTGCTTGATGGAAATGGCATCGTACGCATCTGCTTTTACCTATATAGTGTTTTGCACACGTGTTAACAAATCTGTGTGGCCTGTACTCTGACGGAAAATACCAAACCAATGATAATTAAGTCATGAGGCAGTTGGCGTACAAAGAGAGGTACAAACCCTTAATGTGCCCCCCAACCCCCACCTTGCTAAGTCCACCCTTCTCCATGACCTCTGACGTCAGTATAAGACAGAGAAAGGCCCAGGTTTATAGCAGGTCAACCTGGAAGACACCCTCAGAGGCTGAAGAACTTGGCCCAGAATTGAAGAGACCAGGACTCCAATAAGGTCTAACATCTCTTTGAGAGTGGCCTTCTCGGCTCGGGGTGACTCACGCCTGTAATCCCAGCCCTTTGGGAGGCCAACGCAGGCAGATCACTTGAAGTCAGGAGTTCGAGACCAGCCTGGCCAACTGGTGAAACCCCGTCTCTACTAATAAAATATAAAAATTAGCCAGGTGTGGTGGCATGTGCTTGTAATCCCAGCTACTCGGGAGGCTGAGGCAGAAGAATCACTTGAACCTGGGAGGCAGAAGTTGCAATGAGCCAAGATCACACCACTGCACTCCAGCCTAGGTGACAGTGAGACTGTCTCAAAAAAAGAGTGGCCTTCTCACCCACCTCCTTCTACCTGGGCCTGGTCCTTTCGCAGCCCCCTTCCCACCAACATAGCCCTCTAAACGCCCCTAGCCCCCACACAGCTCTGGTCTGACAGCACTGCCGAGGATGCCCACTAACTTTCTGGCATTCACCATAGGAGGGCTTTCATTTCCTCTTTCTCTTTTTGTGTCTAGAGCAAATCACATACCAAGGCAGGACAAGAGGACAGCTCAGCAGAGCTGGGGGTCCCTTACCTGACCCATGGTAGGGCAGTTAGGCAGGTGCACCTCCCTCAGCCTTCACCTCCACCAGAAGAAAGAGACATACCAAACAGTTTACACACAAATTTATTTGGGAGAAACATCCAGGGACTAGGGGACAAGAGAGGAAACCTGGTGGGCAGTAGGGCTGGGGGTACAGAGTAGCAGTAAGTGTGCTGAAGGGCGTCAACCAAGAGGAAGAGCCAAGGCTGGGGTCCAGTGGCTGGAGGGAGGCAAGGAGGGCTGGTGTGAGGGACTAGAAGTCCTGGCCAAGCCCAGATAGAAGTCAGGAAGGTGGCTGGAAACTGGTGGAATTTTACACCAAAGTTTGCTGCAGTCACACTAAGGAGTATAGAGCCCTCTGTTTTGAGGGTCATTGCAGAAATCCAGGAAGCAGTATTGAGAGAATATCCAGAAGCCAGACACCGGAGAAGTTCGGGTATTTGAACAATCACTCATCTGCTCCTTACTTCGGCAGTCACTCACCATGACGTCAGAACCGCTGCCTGGGGAGGGACAGTGGGCACCAGTGATACGGAAGTCCCCAGGAAGAGCCCCAAATCCTCTCATCCCCACACTCATAAGTCAAAAAAAAAAGAAAAAGAAAAGATTCCTGTAGTTAGGCATGGGTGGACATGCCCAGTGTTCACCAGCCATGGAACTCCACTGAAGTTCCCATGCAAGGCTGGAGGAAAAGAGCCATATGAAATGTAATGGTTGGAGGGGGAGTTGGGAGTTACTGAGCCAAGTGAGGAGAACTAGCACCATAGGACCATGTGAGAAAAAGCTGGGAAATGTTTTGGAGATTGGGTGGCAGGAAGGAGGTGTATTGTTATTTATTTTTCAGACCAAAAGAGAATAAGATGATGTCTGCTGCTGTTATACATAATAGAGAAAAATCTTTGTGCCTGCATCCCAAGAAGTCATGTTCAGGGATGTTTGCTGCTGCCCTGCTTGAGAGAAATGACCAAAATGCCCATCAATAGTGGGATGGGGAAATCAGCTGTGATATGCGCATGCTATGGAGTAGTATACAGCAGGTCAATAAAACAAGGAAGCTGTTTACAAACTGATATCGGAACATTCAGTTCCCCTAACTTAAATGTGGAATAATGTTTACAGTGGGATGCTACTATCTTGGGTTGGGGCGGGGGAAGAGGTGAAAAAATAGTAAACAGCATATTTGTGCAGGGTGGAATGTGCATAAAAGATTGCAGGAGGGATCATCCAGAAAGTAAAAAAAGTGGTCACATGTGCAGGGGAGCCAGGTGGGTTAGGGTAGTAGCGGGAGACTTTGGTTTGATGGTATTGTATACTCTGATATTTGACCCACATCTGTGCATCGGCTATGTTAAAAGGGTAGTAAGAGGACTTGAACACAGGCAGCTGCATGCAGTGGTTGTTGAGAGCACCATCTCTGGAGCCATCACAAATTCTGGCTCAGCATCTGTGAGACTCAGGCAAGGTTATGACCTTTCTGCACCTGTTTCCTCATCTGTAAAATGCACATAGTAATAATACCTGCCTCAGTGGATTGCAAGTGTTTAGAACAGTGCCTAGCACATATTATGTGTTACGTTTTTGCTAACTTAAGAAAGGTGGGGGGTCGGTGGAAGAGCAGGCATCGGGAAGGAGTCAATTTTCAGCGAGGGAGATGTCCAGTGGTCAACGGGATATGAGGAGAGCGGTTTGACATAACATTCAGATTCAGAAGGAAGTGGTATGTGGCTGCTGGTTGAAGCCAGCAAAGCAGATAAAATCCTCTGCTTTTGAGTATATGAAGTGGGAAGACAGCTAAGGACCAAACCTTGGTGAACATGAACCACTAAGGGTCAGAGAGAAAACGCTCCATGAAGGAGACTGAAGAAGCCGTGGAGGATGCAGGAGAAGAGCAACACCAGCAGTAACTGCAGACAGATGCGGAAGCAGACAGCTTGAGGACAGGCAAGGGCACCTGGAGATCTGGAGGGTCCCCGTCAAAGCTGCGCACCTTGATAGGGTAGAAGCTATTCAGCTACAGATTGAGGAGAGAAGGTTAGTGGAAGTGGAGACAGAGTGTGGCTCTGAAGAAAAGGGAAGAGAGGCTGGGCACGGTGGCTCACGCCTGTAATCCCAGCACTCTGGGAAGCTAAGGTGGGTGGATCACCTGAGGTCAGGAGTTCGAGACCAGCCTGGCCAACATGGTGAATCCCCATCTCTACTAAAAATACAAAAAATTAGCTGGGCGTGGTGGCGTGCACCTTTAATCCCAGCTGCTTGGGAGACTGAGGCACAAGAATTGCTTGAACTGGGGAGGTGGAGGTTGCAGTGAGCCAAGATTGCGCCACTGCACTCCAGCCTGGGTGACAGAGCAGCAAAAAAAAAAAAGACAGGATCGGAGCAATGTCTTATGGGATTATGGGAACAAGACTTGGGGTGCAGCTTAGGAGGCTGAGAGAGTTTCCGTTTGGGAGAGTGCTGGGCCCATGACAGGAGAAGGCCACTTACTGTTCTTTTTGTGGAGAGTGATGCAGCTGCTGCCAGCTGGGGTGAGGCAGATGTCAGATCCCAGAAGGCACCCTAACTCCTTGGTCTCCAAGAGGCATCGGTAGCAGCGCAGGTATTTGGGGAATGGAAGTGGTTGAGGGGGTTCCCAATTGACAGGAACAAACTTACCTAGAACACAGAGAAGTGCTGACCCCACTCACACCCCATTCTACCTCACACCCTACCACTGCCTGATTCCAGGCCACTCAGCCCCACTCCTCCCTCCCTTCCTGTCTCAGAAAACCATCAAAGCCCCAATTCTCTGCTTCCTTCCCCAACTGCATACACATACATCCCCCTTTTCCTCTGGTCCTAAGGCCAGACCACATGTTAACAAATCCCCAGACCCAGCAGAGCACTTGGTGTTAGGCAGAGGAAAGTGCTAAACCAACACTTTGAATCCTGTGTCTCTGTGGCTGGTGCTTTGCAGCCAAGTGGGGAGCCCAGCAGGCTGGACTCAGTCTTGTTCTATCCTGTGGATTCTGGTTTTCTCATCCAGCACACTCCCTAACCCTCCCTATTCTATGTTGCCCTCAGATCCAGAGAGGATTCCTTCAGTATCTCTATTCAGGTCACTGCTGTGAAGTGAGACAGCCCTGGGGTGGTCACTAGAAATCTCCTTCAGAGGCTGGGTGCGGTGGCTCACGCCTGTAATCCCAGCACTTTGGGAGGCCAAGGCGGGCAGGTACCTGAGGTCAGGAGTTCGAGACCAGCCTGGCCAACATGGTGAAACCCCGTCTCTACTAAATATACAAAAATTAGCTGGGCTTGGTGGCTTATGCCTGTAATCCCAGTTATTCGGGAGGCTGAGGCATGAGAATCGCTTGAACCCGGGAGGTGGAGGTTGCAGTGAGCCGAGATCTCGCCACTGCACTCCGGCCTGGGATACAGAGCGAGACTCCATCTCAAAAATAATAATAATAATAAATTTTTAAAAATCTTCAGATTGCACATCAGTCCATGAGCAGGCATTCCCTACCAAACCCATCTGTCCCATCTCTCCTCCTGCATGGGTTTACCTGAGCATCCTGGACAGGTGTACCCAGACACTTGGTGTCTGTGGGTTTCTCCATCCAGGCCAGGAGACCCTTCTGAACCCTTGGAGCCACTTACCAAACACCAAGCTCATCATGACCAGCACTATTAAGAGGACCGTGTAGAGGGCTTGGGGGCTGCTGTGGAAGCACAGGGGACCCAGACTCTGGCTCCCTGCAGGGCCTGCCATAAAACGCATGACTGCCTGCTGGCCTCCAGTTTGGGCTTATATTGGTGGAAGAGAGGTTGGCCAAGAGGAAGGAGAGAGGCAACACCAGCTCAGGGTGGAAATCAGTGCCAGACCAGCCAGAGGGGCAGAATGTTCGCACCCACAGCCACTCTGGGGCATAACATCCTGCTTGAGGGCAGGGGACCAGCAATAGGGGAATGAGAAAAGGAACTGTCTTTCCTATTAATTGGACAGATGTTTATTGAATCACTGCATCAGATGTTGGGGATACAACCCTGCACAAAGTCTCCACCCTCACAGGGCACAGTCTAGTAGGGGAGACAAGTCCACCAGCAATGATGTGGGGAGGGCAGAGTGCTGCCAGGAGCACCTCGACAGTTAAACCACTGACCAGAGGGATTTCGGCAGAGGAGTAACTTGATCGGATTTCTGTTTATAAAAGATTGCCATGGCTGCACATTGCATTTGGGTCAAGAGTGGAGGCCGCCGGGAAGTAGGACGCTATTCCCGAGTCCGGTCACAAGATGGCGGACTGGTCCGGCAGAAGACGAGCAGGGACGAGGAAGCGGGGCTAATGAACCTGAGATACAGTTAGAAGACTGGACAGATTTGCTGTTGGACTGAACGAGGGGTGAGGGAACAGGGGTAGGCTTGCACAAGGAAGTGGTACCATTTTCCAAGATAGGAAACATGTGGTCTGTCTCAAAAAAAAAAAAAAAAAGCAAATAGGGGGTGCCCAGTCCCACTTCTCATACCCTGGGGACACCTGTCAGACATCCTAAAACAAGGACACCTGGATCCCAAGCGATACGTACTCAGCTCAGTGCTCCCTTGGGGTTCCAGGAACCCAGCGCCTTCCCTCACCTCATCCTTTTTCCTGCCCCGCCTGTGCTCAGCTGCGGCTCAGTGGGCCTGAACTCCGGAGCCCACAGAATCTGGCGCTGGGCGTCCGCTCTCCGCGCCTGACCGCACCTCAGAACTCCGGTAGGACGGGGGGGTGGCCCCCGGCTCAAGCTCTGTTCCCTGGGGAAGAAACCTGGAAAGTGCGAACCGCGCGTCGGGACCCAAGCGTCGGGCCCCAGCGGACATCCGGAGCCCGAAGCGGCTCCCCAGGAAGGCGGCGCCGTAGCGCCACTCTCCCTCCCAGGCGAATTCTGGAGACCGCGGCCCCAGGCGTCTCACCCATTTTCTCCGCTGGGGACCCGCTGGGCTCCCCATCCACGCCTACTCGGTCCCCACCCCACCAGCTCAGTCTTGACTCAGAAACTCAGGGTTTTTACTTTTAGGATCGTTGGGCTGTGCGTTAGGGGAGGAGGTGGTCCTCAGCGTCCTGGAACGACACCACCTGCTCCAATTTCCCGTCTGGAGGTTCTGGTCGAGGCTCCGAACTCGGGTTCCCTGCTACCTCCCAGACTATTCAAGAATTATCCAGTCCCAGGATGATAAGGGGGAAGATGGGAAGAAACAGACGGGAGACGCCCGCCCAGAAAGACTGCGGGAAGAAAGAAATTCGAGAGGAAACTGCACGCCACTGAGCGCCTCCCAAAAGCCTTGGAATGAATGAATTTAAAAACTATATTAGGGCCGGACTGCGGTGGCTCACGCCTGTAATCCCAGCACTTTGGGAGGCCAAGGCGGGTGGACTACCTGAGGTCAGGAGTTCGCACCCAGCCTGGCTAACATGGTGAAACCCCGTTTCTACTACAAATACCAAAAATTAGCCGGGCGTGGCGGCTCATGCCTGTAATCCCAGCACTTTGGGAGGCCAAGGTGGGGGATCATTCGAGGTCAGGAGTTCGCAACCAGCCTGAGCAACATGGTGAAACCCCGTCTCTATCAAAAAATACAAAAACATTAGCCAGGTGTGGTGGCGCACGCCTGTAGTCCTGGCTACTCGGGAGGCTGAGGCAGGAGAATCTCTTGAACCTGGGAGGCAGAGGTTGCAGTGAGCCGAGATCGCACCACTGCACTCCAGCCTGGGCGACAGAGTGAGACTCTGTCTTAAAGAAATAATAACACAAAATAAATTGTATTAGAGAAAAGCCAGAGTAGTGGAGAACTGCAGAGGAACGCGGGGCACCTACATAAATGTCTTGAATGAATGAGTGCACAGAGTGATAGACAAAAAGAATCAGAGGGCCGGGCTCCGTGGCTCACGCCTGTAATCCCAGCACTTTGGGAGGCCGAGCTGGGCGGATCACAAGGTTAAGAGATCGAGACCATCCTGGACAATATGGTGAAACCCCGTCTCTACTAAACATACAAAAATTAGCCAGGAGTGGTGGCGCCTGCCTGTAGTCCCAGCTACTCAGGAGGCTGAGGCAGGAGAATCGCTTGAACCCGGGAGACGGAGGTTGCAGTGAGCCGAGATCGCGCCACTGCACTCCAGCTTGGCGACAGAGCAAGACTCCGTCTCAAAAAAAAAAAAAAAAAAAAAAAAGAGAGCCAGGGCTCCTCTTGAAGCGAAGAGGGCAAAGGGCAAAGGGGAAGCACAGGGGAACTTCGCGGCGCCCTCTGAAGCTCCCTCTCGAATATAATCGCAACGAAAAGGCCAACGACTAGAGGCTTTGCGAGGCTGAGGCTGGGCTTCGGGAGGGGATTGCCCTGAGAGGTCCGGGAGGACTTGCTGTGGAATTCAAGCGACCGTGGGCCTTGAGGGAACCGGGGGGCAAGACACCCACCCAGCATTCGCGGAATATTTCCTCGAATTATTTCGGGGAGGGGTGAGGCCGGGGCAGGGTGGGGCCTTCTTCGGAGGGGGCGCGGCCTCCGAGTAATTAATCCCGTCTTTGTTGCGTTTTGCTCCTCTCCTGTCCACCCAGCAGGGCCAGCCCAGGGCGCGCTAAGAGTCCAGAGAGTTCGTTTCCATGGTGACGGGTTCCGCGAAGGTTTTCCTGGGGTGAAGAGGCAGGGCGTTGAATAATCGCCATGGCGACAGCAGCAGATGACGGTGTCCCTTCTGAGTGCTCCTACCTAGAGTTAAGGGATACCTGAGGGTAAGCAACCGAGTGACGAAACAAAGAAGGCGGGGCCTGAGGACAGAACGCCAAGGTTAGGGGAATGGAGCCAGGCAAACGAGGGGCGGGGCTGTAGATGACCCGGTCGGGAGAGGGCCACGGTTTGTTGGGGGAGCGGCTCGAGATTGCGTTCTAGAGAGGAACCAGAGAGAGGGTCTTTAACCTAAATATAAATGAATGACTGGATTCCTGAAGAATCCGGAATGGCTTGTTGATTGGATAGATGGATGGATGGATGGACGGACGGACGGACCGATGGATGGAAATCTGGCTATCACTGACGCCTGAGCTCCCCACCCTCTTGGGCCCTCCACCTCCGGAGCCCTCACTCGCTTGTGACAGCTGTACGAGAAATACATGCCTCTCCTAGGAGCAAACCCTCAACCCAAACAGGCAGCACAGAGCCAGTCCAGCACCTCACACTGGAGGCACTCAGGGTGGAGCCCAGGTCGATGAGACGGCGTAGGATGAGGCTTTTTGGCCCAGCTGGGAACCACTTCTTTCCAGATTTCCCGTCCAGAGTCTAACTTTCCTTTCTCCCAGCGCCATCTTTTCTGCTAGTTTGCCCAGCTCCTCAGGGTGCCTGGACTTTCAGGCCTCACCTTGTGTCCAGTATAGCAGGGTCCAGCGCCCCAGCAACTGGGAAGGTCTGCATCTCTGCTGATCATCCCCTGGAACTGCTGGAACTTTGCTATATAGGGTGAGGAGTGGACAGGGGCCTGCTTCCACCCCTGGGTGGGGATTAGTTCTGAAAACAAACACAGCTGCTCTGAACCTTATTGCATAGGGAGTAATCTGAAGTAGGCTGAGGCCCCTGGATGGGGGGGTTCAGAATTCACATGTTGAGCCTACCTTTCTTTCCCTACCCAATTTCAGGTATCTAAGGGCCCCTCAGGTCATCCACTGTTGTCTACAATTACATGCAGTAAGATGGGGGAAAGTGGCAGTAGGGGCAGTTCAGCAGAGTCCCTAATGGCCATGTCCAGGGAGGGGTGTCCTTTGTCCCCAGGGTATGGGAGGTGAGACTGGGCACCCCTATTTGCTTTTTTTTTTTTTTTTGAGACAGAGTCTCACTCTGTCACCCAAGCTGGAGTCCGGTGGCACGATCACAGCTCACTGCAGCCTCAACCTACCGTGATCCTCAGCCAAGCGATCCTCTTACCTCAGCCTCCAGAGTAGCTTGGAACACGGGTGCATGCCACCATGCCTGGGTAATTTTTAAATTTTTTGTACTGATGGAGTCTCCCTATGTTGCCCTGTCCAGTCTTGAACTTCTAGGCTCAAGTGATCCTCCTGCCCCAGCCTCCCAAAGTGCTGGGATTACAGATGTGAGCCACCATGCCCAGCTCCTCTTTGCATTTAAGGAGCTTCCCTTAGCTGAACAAAAATTTAGTTTTCAGGGGATTAACTCTTCTGTTGGATCTGGGAGGATGGGATTCAGAACTGTGCAGCTGGCTCCAGAGCTTCATGTTCCACACTTCCCATCGTTTGCCCCCCTGGAATGGGATAGAGGAGAGGGCACCAGTATCAGCTATCCACCTGTTTGCTAACGGTGGAGCATTATGGAGCTGTGGTCACCTGCCTCTTCTAACTCCAAATTTCAGGCATCACATCACCTGATTAAGTCTCAGATCTCCACTTCCAGTGGAGACTCAGTATATCTTCCCTTAAGGAGTTGCAGCGCTAATGGGGGCACACACAGCCTCTGCCCTGGGGTTTCAAGAAGAGCTTCATGCACTGGGTTTGGAGAAGACACAGAAATTTAGCCAGAGACTCCATCTAGGACATTAGAACATTGTCGCCCACGTTAAGTATCTTGCTCAAAAGAATGGAGTTGGCCGGGCGCGGTGGCTCACGCCTGTAATCCCAGCACTTTGGGAGGCAGAGGCGGGTGGATCACGAGGTCAGGAGATCGAGACCATCCTGGCTAACACAGTGAAACCCCGTCTCTACTAAAAATACAAAAAATTAGCCAGGCGTGGTGGCAGGCGCCTGTAGTCCCAGGTACTAGGGAGGCTGAGGCAGGAGAATGGCGTGAACCCAGGAGGCGGAGCTTGCAGTGAGCCGAGATTGTGCCACTGCACTCCAGCCTGGGTGACAGAGCGAGACTCCGTCTCAAAAAAAAAAAAAAAAAAAGAATGGAGTCGGCTGAGGTGGGTGGATTGCCTGAGCTCAGGAGTTTGAGACCAGCCTGGGCAACATGGTGAAACCTGTCTCTACTAAAATACGAAAAATCAGCTGTGTGTAGTGGCACACACCTGTAATCCCAGCTACTTGGGAGGCTGAGACAGGAGAATCGCTTGAACTTGGGAGGCAGAGGTTGCAATGAGCTGAGATCGTGCCACTGCACTCCAGCCTAGGCGACAGAGTGAGAATCCATCTCAAAAAACAAACAAAAAACCATCCCCAACAAAATAAAACAAAACAAAACAAAAATGGACTCAGGGCGATAAACTTTGGGGTCTTTCATCTGGAAAAGAGAAGTTTCCAAATGAAGAAAGTGGCCAGCGGCCAGGCGCAGTGGCTCACACCTTTAATCCCCAACACTTTGGGAAGCCAAGGCGGTTGGATCACCTGAGGTCAGGAGTTCGAGACCAACTTGGCCAACATGGCGAAACCTCATCTTCACTAAAAATACAAAAATCAACTGGGTATGGTGGCGCATACCTGTAATCCCAGCTACTAGAGGGGCTGAGGCTGGAGGATCACTTGAACCTGGGAGGTGGAGGTTGCAGCAAGCTCAGATTGTGCCACTGCACTCCAGCCTGGGCAACATAGTAAGACTCCATCTCCAAAAAAATAAAAAAAACTGCCAGGCAACAAACCAATGGGTGGAAGAGGGATTTATTCACTGTGTTCCACAAGGTCCAAAGTTAGAGATAGATGGCAGTTATAGGGAACCAATTTCCTCAGGTACAACCTAAGCATCTTCTCCTAACAGAGCCGTCCAAAAGGCAAAGTATGGCTCTGAGAAGACATGAGTCCTTGGCACCTGGCCCTCCGTCCCTGGCAGGGCCTGTGTTTGTTGAACTGCAAAAAGGCTGTGAGGACAGAGACTTGATGACATGGCAAGGTGGGTGTGCAGGGTTTGCTGCATAAGACGTGGGGAGCAGGCCCTTCCTCACTCTTCACCAAGATAACAAGAGGTGAGCAATGAAAATTGGGGGTACTGCTAGTAACACCATGCAGGTTGAACCTGGAAACCAGCAGAAGCACTGGGTAGGTGAAATCGGATCCTAGAAAGCTCATGAGCCGTAAGCAGGAGGGGGCAACCATGGGCTCCTGGGGTGGTTGTATGCAGGAAGAACTGAAGAAGGAGGCGGGAGGGGCCAGGGAGGCTGCACAGTTGTGATAACAGTAGGCACATCAGGGACCGGGGAGGTTTGGGGACCTGCTGCCTGAGGAAAGCTCAGGTTAGGGGCTGAAGGCCTAGGGGGACACAGAGATGGGAAGGGTTAGATTAGCTAGATTGTCTAGAGTTAGGGTTTCCCAAAGCCCAGCTCTTTGGGGCCTCTGCTCTCCCCACTACCTGCCCCTGGCTCCCTGGACACTTGAGAAGTTATACAATTAGCCAGATAGTAGAAAAAATACCTTTTTATTAATTATTAGGAATAATCCATTCATGTAATGCAGGATGTATGTTGGAGAAGGTTAAGTACAGCCACATGAATGAGGGGAAACGTGCAAGAGGAACAGTGGTGAGAAGGGGGATGGTCCCCCACTTTCCACAAACTATAAACAGCAACATGAACACAGAGAATCACAAATAAGAGGGTCTTTCCTCATGTCTCCTCTCACCCCATTCTTCCATAATGAGTCCCAGTTGGTCCCTAGAGGTGCCAGGGCATCTGGAAGTTCTGGGCTGGGAGTGGGGTGCAGTGAGTGGCCTCAAAGTTGTGCAGATGCTTCCGAGCCTGAGGAAAGGAGGTGGGACAGGTGGGGTACAGAGCACTGTTGGGAGGGGCAGCCACTGGACTCCCTCCCCACCCTCCACTTCCGCATCCACCACCCACTCTACAAAAGCTGCCACTTCCAATGCTTATAGGGTATCCCCAGTCCCCCTATGTGAGCCCTGGCCATTCAAGAACCCTTCCCACTTCCCACTCCTTAGCTCACCAGAAACAAAGCCAGCTGCCGCCGTCCATCTGCACTCATGTCCTCCCCTGCAGAGAGGAGGCGCTCAAAATAGGCCACACATCTGGGTATTCATCCCCTTCCTAGGCCCTTCCCACCCTCTCTCCTGCCCCAGGAGCTCCTTACCCACGCTCCAGGGGAAGTCAGGCCCGTGTTCTGCCTGGTAGGAGCGGAGGACAGACAGACACCAGTCCTCTTCCACCTCCCATCGGCTATAAATTGAGGCTGGTCAGGGAGAGAGATGACAGCCAGTCAGCAACCTGACCTTGCTGGGCCCCCGCCCCAAGCCTCACTGGATCCCTTCTCACCTTCCTCCAGCTGTGAGGAGGCCTCCAACCACTGCCTCACCACTCGAAGACCCTCCTCTGCCATCACCCGGGGATACCTACGGAGGAAGTGCCAGGACAGGTCAGGGCTGATTTTTTTTCATTCACCATCCCTGAACCTTCCTCCCTCCTTCCCTGTGCTGGTATCAGTATCTGTGTGTGTACACTGCCCCCAGCGCGCACACACCCTGGCTCTCACCGATGCTGCAGGAGCTTCAGCAGGAGGTCATTGCCTCGGTTGGACATGATGTCCTCAGGAACCCTGGGGGTGAGAAGAATGTACCCTGGAGGGGCTGGAGGTTAGGAGGAAGGGTCTAGATACCCAGGTTTCTGGTGGGCAGAGGTAGAAGGGACAAGTTCCTGGCCATCTCTGGGGTTCCTGAGGGCCGAGATTCCCACGCACGCACTCACGTGGTGGTGATGATCTCATCCTTGGTTCTCCGGATCAGCAGTACAGGACCCTGGTATCTTCAGAGAACAGAGCAGTGGGAAGGGAGAGCTCAGAGGGAGACGGGTGACAACTGGCCCACCCCTATCCCTGCACTGGTAGCATTCTTACCCTCCCCTTGCTATAGCACAGCCCTTGACCTAGCCCTTCACTCAGGGGTGAGAGGGGATTATTTAAGGGGCATGGTTCAGTCTGGCCCTGCTGGGAGACCCCTGCCGTGCCAGGCCTTAACCCTTTGGTTGCCAGATCCTGAGGTGGTCCAGAGTCCCAGGGGACCTGGGAGGGGTTAGGCCAGTTGAGGTGGTGGCAGGGTCACTCAGGATGTGAGCCAGTGGCCTTTTACCAACTTGCACTTTAGTACTAGTTTCAGGGTTTGAGCGCCCAGCAGAGCTGTATGGGGGGCAGGTGTTCAATGCCGGACGCTGGCCGGCCCTCACCTGCACAGCTGCTCCGCGTTGTTTAGATTGAGATGCTGCCTCACGGTCCTGGTCACCAGGCCCCCTAGAGTGGGATAAAGGTGAAGGGATGGCAGAGACAAAGCCCTTGCCCAACATAAAGGTCCTCACTATTCACGGAGAAAGAAAACTGAGGCCCCCAGACAAAGGAGTCCTCCTGCTTCCAACAATGGGGCGACTTACTCCCCACCCAAGAAAAGGGAGCCATCTCAGAACAGTTCCCAGTTCCAGCCCACCCCTTCCCAGGAAGGGCAGGCCTGGGAGCTGCACTCACTCCAGCTGTCTGGCATGACCTTCAAGGCCAAGGGCACCAGGTCATCAAAGGAGGCATCCAGGATCATGGCACTAACATCTGGGTAGGACATGGCTGCCCACGTGGCTGGTACCAGGGCAGGGAAGAAGAGTAAGAACTGAGAAAGGCTCCTTTCTCCCCACCACCCATGCTCTCATCCCACTGACCCTATAGGCCAACCCCATTCCCCCTATGTTATCCCTTGTTTTTTTCTTAACCTACTTCACTTGGTTAGGGAACTATCTGGAGAGGATGGGGATAGAACACTGGAGATAGTGCACTGAAGATAATGGGCAGGAAACATTCACTTTCCCTGATCTCCCCACCCAGGACCTGGGTCTGCTTTTCCTTTTAATGACTGGGCACAAGAGGGGAAGGAAAGGTGAAGTGTATGCAAATAGGATAGCTTCTTCCAGGCCCACTCAGAGATTCTACTTCCTCTCTCTTCTTCCTTGAGCCTCCACCCCACCCCATTTCCCCACCTCTCCCGGGTGGGGCTGGGTGGTCATGAATGTGTCTACAGTGGGGGATGGGAGGGAGGCTGGTACCAGTGAAGCCGCCGATGGACCAGGCGTAGATGATGATGTCCTGGGGCTGGAAGCCCAGGCGGTGGATGGCAAACTGGACCACCACATCCATGGCATTAGCCTCATTCTGCGGGAATGGCACCCCCTGCAGGAGAAAGGGCAAAGTCAGGAGTGTGTCAGCACCAAAGGCCAGCTCACCTGTCCCTCCCAACGTGGACCCCTCCTGCAGCCACCTATGACAGGCAGAGAAGGTGTAGAAGGAAGGGATGGTAGGAGAGGTTGTTCTCTCCAGAAGACGGATGTGTACAATGAGATCTACCTCCTCCTCTCCTGCTAGCCCCGCACTGTGGGGATGGGGGCATGGCTCCCAATGCTGCCTTCACAACCTCCTAGACCCCAGCCCTCAGGTGAGTGGGAGGCCTTCAAGAAATCCACAGCCCCTCTCCTCCCTCCAATGGCTGACCAGAGGGAAACAGACATAATTCAGGAAAAGGAAGGGATTCCTGAGATGGTCTCACCGTGCTTCCAGCAAAGCCTGGATGATTCCAGCCCAGGACTGAATATCCAGCTGTAACACAGGGGGAGGAGGGACTGAGACCTTGTGGCCCACAGCCCTTTCTCCATCCCTGGGGGAAGGAAGAGCAGAAGTACCCCCCAGCTTAGATGCAAATAACTCCAAGCCTTCCCAGAAATAGGAGATGACACCAGAGGTTCTGAGGCAGCACAGGGAGCAGCATGTGATTGTGTGGGGTGTGTGGTGGGGGAATGGAACAGAATGAAAAGCATAATAGCTAGGGACACAGGCCAGGGGAGGGATGTAAGGTTATCAAAGCAAATGGCGAGTGGACTTTTCCCTAAAGCTGAGAGACTCAAAACCTCACCCAGAGAAAGCAGAGGCCAGGGGAGGTCAGGTCAGTGTGGGAGGCAGGGACATTCCCTTTCAAAGGGCGGAGATAAGGAGGCTGAGTCACCGTCCTACCTTCCAGGGGCGTGGAGACGCAGCCCACCTCATAAAACCCAGCATTCCCCTCACAGCAGATCACCTAGGAAGGAGGCAGGAAGGAAGGGCTGGGGGGCCAAGTTGGGACTGAAAAACTCCCTTTGGGCAGGGAGGGCAGCCCATGAAGAGCTTTGCAGGGAAGAGGAAAGGGCAGGTTTCTGTTTTCTCCAAGGGGAATGGAAGCTTCTCATTCCACAGGGTCCATAAGAGGAGAAGCAAAGGGATTACAAATACTCCTCAGAGGCTGACCTGCTCGACCACCCAGCCATGTCTTTTCCTTGGAAGATTACCAGCTGGATCTCTTTCAGGAAGGGGACTATGGAGATGTTTTTCCTTTCTCGTTTTCGGGTCTGTTATCTTCTGTGACCATTGCTATTGTGTGGTATGCTGATTGCTCTCCCTATCCCTCTCTGAGCTCCAGTCTTATGGTCAGATAAACTGTAATGCCATGGCGCCCCAAGCTGAAACCCACGAATGGTGGGATTTGCATGAACTCTCATAACAGATGGGCAGAGCCAGGACTAGAACCCAGCTCCCTAGACTCCTGGCTTAGCGCTCTTTCCACGGCTGCTTCATGGAGGTAGGAGACTTTGAGGCCAGGCTGCCTGGGTCCAAATACCAGCTCTACCACTTACTGTGAGGTCCAGGAAAGGTTTTCTGTGCCCCAGTTTCATCTCCTGTAAAATGGGCTAATATAAGCAGTACCTATCTCACGGGATTCTTTTGAGAATTAAATATATATGCTTCATATATATATGAGAATTAAATATATATAAGTGTGAAGTGCTGTCAAAGTGGTAACTATTAATATTAGTTTCTCGTCCTTGAACGTCTCTCCTACTTCATCTGTTTCTCTATCACAGGGTTTCACTACATCACAAGGTCTTTAGCGTGGAGCTAGGACATGAGATTATCCCCAGTAGTGGTTCCTTCAGGGAGGTGCTATAGCATTGGGGTCCCCAGACCTCTACTGCCTTCCTCACACTCACCCCACCTCTGGGCTCTCTGCTCCCTCTTACCAGCTTCTGTCCCTGGGGCTCAGCTGTCCCCCGCCGGTCCACAAACATGGTGTCAATCTCATTGCCATCACAGGCCAGCAGCTTTGCCCGGCGCCCATTACACTGAGTACGGAAGACGCAATGGCCAAGATGCAAGGGTCAGGAGGCCACATCACAGGGGTGGGGCGGGGTGGGTGGGGGTGAGAGGGGAGGGCTTTAGGGGATGTGCGGGCAGGGAAGCCTCACCTCTTCCACCAGTCGGGCCTGGCCCTGCAGCAGCACAGGCATGAGGGCCTTCTGCAGCAGGTACACAGAGCCTGGATACAGCATCCGGCGCCCTAGGGTGTGCGCCACCAGGTAGCTGTGGGGAACACAGGTTAACAAACCCCAACCCTGGTGAGGCCTGGGGACTGTGCTGGGGACCATCCCAGCCCTAGCACTCACAGACTGTAAGGCCTGCTTTACCCCTGACCTTCACAGCTTTACTTTCCTCTTTCAAGCCTTAATGAAATATGTACCAGGCTAGTGTTTTGCAAACTTTTCTTACTGCAACCTTTGTAAGATAAACATTTTATATTGTGGCTCAGTGCACACATATCCTGTATGTACAGAATTCTGAGAGTTTTATGATGTAACTGTCTATACATAATAAGTAAATGCAAAGTTATCATCAGATTATGATTCTGTTAAAATATAAGTACAACATATTAAAGGTCCCCAAATAAATAATGCTTTAAAAAATGATGGTTATAATTCAAAACCTCAAATATGGCTTGCCTCCCTGACTAATTAGCACACTGTCAACAACCAACCACTAAGTCCACCCTGTTCCTTGGTATTCTAGAAGCTGCCTCCTAACTCCCAGCAAAAGAAAATTCCCAGTGTCTGTTCCACTATAAGATATAGGTGGTTATTTCCGTTCCTTCTGACATCATCAGTACCCACGACTGAGCTTTATTTGGGATTTACCATGTGCTCTCAAGCACCCAGGCAAGGCAGGAGCCCTTCAGAACATGTTACCTTACTTAATCTCCTCAGCAACCTTGCAGGGCAGGTTCATCACAGGTGCAGACACTGAGGCACACAGGGGCCCGGAGCCAAGGTGGAATAACAACAGGGCAGAGGGGCCACGATGGGTACACAGATGCTACCAGAGCCTGCCCTAGCTACAAGTGTGTGTCCTCCCCACCCCCACCCCACCCCCACTGCTCCTTTTCAGCCTCACTGAAGGAGCTTTTGTTCATATCCCAGTTCTTTACTTACTACATTTGAGACTCCAGACCTCTCTGAGCCTCTTTTCTTCAAACATAAATATGGATAAAAATGACTTTGCCATAAATGATCTACACAAACCATACAGCACTAGGCCCAATGAGTGACAGCTATTTTACAATGGAGCGCCCACTCCCAGAGCACTCCTGAAATGGCCCCTCCACCCCAGTGGGCCTCTCCTCGCTGCTGTTTCCCACCTGGTGATCTGACAAGGCAGCTTCTTAACCCGGTTGAGGAGGGTGTCTGCTGTCCCCCGGTGCAGGGGCTCTGGGCGAAGCAGGGCCACACCCCGGCGGGAAGGGCCCCCTCGAGACTCCTTCCTGAGGAAGGGAAAGATGCAGGGAAGGATAGGGTCAGGAGCAGCAAGCTGGATGTCTGAGGTCTGGAGAACAGTGGGGTCTAGGAACGACATAATGGCATTGGAAGGCAGGCACTGTGACCTGAGAGGGCATGGAGGTGGGAGGGCAGAGCAGAGATTTTCTGGAATGGTTCTAAGGGGAGAGATACAGCAAAAGAACTGGGGCCTCACCGGCTGCTGGGTTCTTCCCAGTGGAAGTCGACTGGCCAGCTCCGGAAGTCAAAGTTGTAGTTGGCAAGCTGCCTCTGCAGTGGGCACGAGAGGCAAAGGGGTACTGAGAACTCAGGGGAGGCTCTCCTACCCACCCTCAACAACACCTTCGTTATCCAGGGGTCTGATCCCCACACATCATGGGGAAACCAAGCGGAGGTCAATACCCTCCCAATTCTCAGATGGAAAATTCTAACAGGACCAGAAAATCAGGGGAGATGGTATGCCCCATCAGGTATCAGGACTGGCCTGTCTGCCCTCTTCCAAGCTAAGAACCTAACACTCTGCTTTTCTAAAAAACTAAGTCTGACCCACCCCCAGGAGGAGTGGCTGAAGGTGCTAGTGCTTTTGAGTGACGGGTAGTAGGGGTCGCTGGCTGGTCACGGTCTATTCCCCACCTGGGTCCCTTATAGGGTGCTGTCTTAGAAGCTTAGAAATCTCCCAGCAGATCACACTGACAGACCCAAGGTTGAGTGAGACAGAGAGGAGGGAAGTCACGCCCACAGTGGGCTCCTCTGCCATGTGGGGCCACCCGTTGAAGGAAGCTCTGACTTCCATCCTCACAACTACATCCCTTCCTCAACTCCTGCAGCCATGGATCAGTGTTGCCCTACAGCCCATCCGAACCTCGGGCCACCCCACTGAGCCAGTCCACATGCCTTTTTTTTTTTTTTTGAGGCAGGGTCTCGTGCTGTTGCCCAGGCTGGAATGCAGTTGGTGCAATCATAGCTCACTGCAGCCTCAAACTCCCAGGCCCAAGTGATCCTCCTACCTTAGCCTCTGGAGTAGCTGGGACTACAGACATGTGCTACCATGCCCAGCTAATTTTTAAAATTTTCTTTAGAGACAAGGTCTTACTATGTTGCCCAGGCTGGTCTCCAACTCCTGGGCTGAAGCGATCCTCCTGCCTTGGCTTCCGAAAGTGCTGGGATTATAGGCATGAACCACCTCACCAGCTCCACGTTTTTTGACGGCAGTGGGAGCTGTGTCTTTTTTTTTTTTTTTTTTTTTTTTTTTTGAGATGGAGTCTCACTCTGTCGCCCAGGCTGGAGTGCAGTGGCGCGATCTCGGATCACTGCAAGCTCTGCCTCCCGGCTTCACGCCATTCTCCCGCCTCAGCCTCCAAGTAGCTGGGACTACAGGTGCCTGCCACCACCATGCCCGGCTAATTTTTGTACCTTTAGCAGAGATGGGGTTTCACCATGTTAGCCAGGATGGTCTTGATCTCCTGACCTCGTGATCCACCCGCCTCGGCCTTCCAAAGTGCTGGGATTACAGGTGTGAGCCACCGCGCCCGGCCTAGCTGTGTCTTAATACTTGACTATATTCGTCCCCCACCCCCTGAGCTCCTAGCACTCTATTTTGAGGGTTTTTATTTTCTGCACAGAAATTTTTTGACATTTCAAAAATAATTTGACTAACAGAGAGCAATAGAAAAATTATACAAAAAGGTAAATGGCAAAACAAAACAAGATGACTAAAAGCAAATTTCAGGCAGGCTTTGCTCAGACCTGCTCTCAAATCTGGACTTAGCCACTTTCTTGCTCTATGACTCCGAATGGGTCACTTAACCTCTTTTTGCCTCTGTTTTCTCACATTTACAAATAAAGGTAATAATGCCACCTCACTCAGCTGTTGTGAGGATCAGAAAGGGTGTGTGCCAAATGCTTCAGCCAGTAGCATAGTACAGGGCATCATTACGCAGCTCCATAGTGTGGAGTAGCCAGGAATGTGATGATGGTGGTCATAGCTGTTTGATCCTAGAAACCTCCCATAACAGAAAAGAGCTTTATGGGGCCCCAAAGCCCATCCTCAAAGATAATCACAGTCCAGCACCAGCCGGCTTGGCATAATTCCCAAGACACTGAGCCCTAGCTTTTCTCCCTCCTGGCACCATGCTGTACTCCCAGGCATAGGAGTGGACACACCTGTCCACCTTGTCCCATCCACAAACAAGGATAGCATGGTATTCAATGCATACAACAAAATTAAACATTTATAGAACTGAGCTGCTGTGATACAGAGAAAACTACCTTCTAAGAAACATTGTGGGCTGGGTGCAGTGGCTCACACCTGTAATCCCAGCACTTTGGGAGGCCAAGGCAGGTGGATCACCTGAGGTCAGGAGTTTGAGACCAGCCTGACCAACACAGCTAAACCCCATCTCTACTAAAAATACAATATTAGCTGGGCGTGGTGGCGCATGCCTGTAATCCCAGCTACTTGGGAGGCTGAGGCAGGAGAATCGCTTGAACCCAGGAGGCGGAGGTTGCAGTGAGCTGGAATCATGCCATTGCACGCCAGCCTGGGCAACAAGAGCGAAACTCCATCTCAAAAGAAAAAAAAAGAAACACTGTGGGCCAGGCACAGTGGCTCACACCTATAATCCCAGCACTTTGGAAGGCCAAGGCAGGCAGATCGTCTGCAGTCAGGAGTTCAAGACTAGCCTGGCCAACATGATGAAACCCTGTCTCTGCTAAAAATACAAAAATTGGCCAGGCACGGTGGCTCACGCCTGTAATCCCAGCACTTTGGGAGGCCGAGGCAGGCGGATCACAAGGTCAGGAGATCAAGACCATCCTGGCTAACATGGTGAAACCCCGTCTCTACTAAAAATAAAAAAATTAGCCGGGCGTGGTGGCAGGCGCCTGTAGTCCCAGCTACTCAGGGGGCTGAGGCAGGACAATGGCATGAACCCGGGAGGCCGAGCTTGCAGTAAGCTGAGATGGCGCCACTGCACTCCAGCCTGGGCGACAGAGTGAGACTCCGTCTCAAAAAAAAAAAAAAAAAATTAACTGGGCGTGGTGGTGTGCACCTGTAATTCCAGCTACTCAGGAGGCTGAGGCATGAGCATTGTTTGAACCCGGGAGTTGGAGGTTGTAGTAAACTGAGATTGTACCACTATACTCCAGCCTGAGTAAGAGTGAGACTCTGTCTCAAAGAAGAAAAAAAAAAAAAGAGGCCAGGAGTGGTGGCTCACGCCTGTAATCCCAGCACTTTGGGAGGCTGGGGCAGGCAGATCGCCTGAGGTCATGAGTTGGAGACCAGCCTGGCCAACATGGTGAAACCCCGTCTCTACAAAAAATACAAAAATTAGAGGGTGTGGGTGGTGCGTGCCTGTAATCCTAGCTACTCAGGAAGCTGAGACAGGAGAATCACTTGAACCTGGGAGGTGGAGAGTGCAGTGAGCCGAGATCGTGCCATTGCACTCCAGCCTGGGCAACAAGAGCGAAACTCCATCTCAAAAAAAAAAAAAGAAAAAGAAAAAAGAAACATTGTGGAATGTTTCTAGTTTAGCCAGTTCTTACAGGTGAGGGAGGGGGAAGATTGTTCTAGCAGAATATTCCATTAGAAGTGGTAGGGAGGAAAAATTCCTCAGGTGGACAGTTCACTAATGGAGGTGAGAAGGGATACAGCAATGTGCAAGCAAACACCCAGTGTGGTGGGTGGTAAAACACACCTCCTCTTCCTGCAGAAGCCAGTGTCTGGTGCTCTGAGGGACAACTGAGAAAGCTGCTATTGGGTGCCTGTGTGGCACTTTTCCTAGGGCCTCTCACCTTGTTTTCTGAAGACTGGTTCCGATGTGTTGCTTCCAAGATGGTGATGAACTGCCGGTACTGGGGGTTGGTCCAGCGGCCAATGCCTGGTAGAAAAAGGACAGGAAACAGTGCTAGGAAAACTGGGAAGCAGAAAGCCTAGGTTTTAGGAAAAGAATTGGAGATGGGCTAGAAGAAGGCCCTGTAAGAAAAAGTGAAAGAAAAAGGAACTGAGGGCATAGGATGCGGAGAAATAGATGTGAGCCAACCCCCTTCCTCCAAATCCAGCAACTGGCTACAGGACGCTTCTTCTCCCTAGCTTCTGCAGTTTGTGTCTTTATAGACAATCCTTAACCTACCATCTTCCAGAATGTTCCTCTTCCTCAGTCTTTAAACACTGTCATATAACCTATTAAATGACACTATTAAACACTATCATATAATACTATTCTCCCTTGCGAATATCAAATTTCTCTATTTTTCACTGCCACTCTTCTCCAATGTTTGCTTTCTGCCTCTTTTCTGTATATTCTAGCCCCTTGCCATCTGGCTTCAGAGTCTCCGACTCCTGCCCATAATTACTTCCTCACTGAATTCCTGACTCTTCTATCCTCATTCTCTTCAACTGTACTACTCAGCATTCTCCCTGTCCCTCAAGATTCTTCCTGCCTCTGCTTCCTGGGCCCATCCTTGACTCCTTCCAGTTCCTGAACAGTTCCTCTCCTGCCTCCTTTCTGCTTTCCTTTCTGAAGCAGAAGCAACTCTCAGTGCTGACTCTCTCTCCTCTCTCTTTTCACTTACACAGTCAGTGATTGCATCCACTCTCCTTTCACTGCTGAGCCACCTCAAACCCTAACTTCTCTCCTCACTGACTTGGCAGGTGTCGTGTGTCAGACAGGCACCGTACTACACACGGGAGACTCAGCAGGAAATGAGATACACAGCTCCTGGCTCTCAGAGAGCTGGCATTCTGGTTGGGGTTAGGTACAGCCAGGAGAAGACAATAAACAACATTTCAGAGAGGGATAAGTGCTACAGAGAAAATACAACAAGAATGAACCAGAACTTTATGTGTCATCAATGGTATTCCCCCAAAACGATATGATGAGAGAATGATGTGTGCTGCAGAATGATTTGTACAACATTTATGCCAAAAATGTAAAATGTGCAAAATAATACATACTGCTTATAGATACCATATTTCATAGATTCTAAAATGTATATTTTTTAACCCTTGAAAACTCTGAAATTAGAATTCATTTTACAATTGATGGCAGCTTAGACTTGAGGAACTGAGGTATATGTTTCATAAAAGTATGTGCCAGAAAAAAAAAAAAACCCACACCAAATGACAATTATTACTTCTGAGGAAAGAGGAAGATGGGACTGAAAGGATTCCAATGGGAACTCCAACCCTAACTGTGGTGCTTTAGTATTTTGTTGACAGAAAGCATTTAAAGCAAATATCACAAAACTATATATAAAAAAAAAATCACAAAACTATACATCAAAAAATTTAAAAAGGCTTTTATATTTTGTTCTCTGGACTTTTCTGTATTTTTTCTTTTTTCTTTTTTTTGAGACAGAGTTTTGCTCTTGTTGCCCAGGCGGGAGTGCAATGATGTGCTCTCGGCTCACTGCAACCTCCGCCTCCCGGGTTCAAGTGATTCTCCTGCCACAGCCTCCCAAATAGCTGGGATTACAAGCGCCCGCCACCATGCACAGCTAATTTTTTCTGTATTTTTTCTAAATTAAAAATAAATAAAATAAAAAACTAAGACAAAACTGAGCAGTGGGAGCTACTTTTAGACAGGGTGGTCAGGGAAGGCCTCTCTGAGGAGAGAGCCCAGCCCTGCAGAGATCAGGGGGCAGAACACCTCAGGCAGAAGGTCCTGGACCCAACTGTGACCATCCAGCCCTGACCCCACCACCCCCATGTTGAAGCATCGCCCATCACCTGGTTGTCATCTTATGTACCCACTAGGGGTAGGTGATCTGTCCTCTTTATTTTTTTAAATTGCGAGATACAACATATGTACATAAAACATATATTCAGTTTAAAAAATACAAAGCAAACATTCATGTGACTATCACCTAGGTCAACAAAGAGAACACAGCCACCTCTCAGCAGGGCTCTCCCCCACTCTGTTCTCCCCCACCCCAGGTAATCACTCTCCTAACTTTTGAGAAAAGCATGCCCTTGCTGGGCGCGGTGGCTCAAGCCTGTAATCTCAGCACTTTGGGAGGCCGAGGCGGGTGGATCACGAGGTCAGGAGATTGAGACCATCCTGGCTAACACGGTGAAACCCCATCTCTACTAAAAAATAAAAAAAAACCTAGCCGGGTGTGGTGGTGGGCGCCTGTAGTCCCAGCTACTCGGGAGGCTGAAGCAGGAGAATGGCGTGAACCCGGGAGGCGGAGCTTGCAGTGAGCCGAGATCGCGCCACTGCACTCCAGCCTGGGGGACAGAGCGAGACTCCGTCTCAAAAAAAAAAAAAAAAAAAAAAGAAAACCATGCCCTTGTTGTCTTCGGTGTTCTACCTCAAACATGCACATCCCTTTTGAATTTTATATAAATGAAAACATACTGCATACATTATTTTGTGGTTAGCTTCTTCTATTTAACACAACATTTGAGAAATTCATCTGCATTGCTTTTGTTTATCTGGAGACAGAGTCTCGCTCTGTCACCCAGACTGGAGTGCAGTGGTGCTATCTTGGCTCACTGCAACCTCTGCCTCCCAGGTTCAAGCAGTTCTCATGCCTTAGCCTCCCAAGCAGTTAAGACTATAGGCATGTGCCACCATGCCCAGTTAATTTTTTGTATTTTATTTTTTCTGAGATGGAGCCTTGCTCTGTTGCCCAGGATGCAGTACAGTAGCGCAATCTTGGCTCACTGCAACCTCTGCCTCTTGGATTCAAGCAATTCTACTGCCTCAGCCTCCCGAATAGCTGGGATTACAGGTGCTCACCACCATACCTGGCTAATTTTTTTTTGTATGTTTAGTAGAGACGGGGTTTCACCATGTTGGACAGACTGGTCTTGAACTCCTGACCTCTGGTGATCTGCCTGCTTCAGCCTACCAAACTGCTAGGATTACAGGCATGAGCCACTGCACCTGGCTTCATCTGCGTTGTTGAGCGTAGCTACAGTTTGTTCATTTGCATTGCTATATAGTGTTCTCTTGCATGGCTATTGCATGGAACTTTTTTTTTTTTTTGAGACGGAGTCTTGCTCTGTTGCCCAGGATGGAGTGCAGTAGCGCAATCTCGTCTCACTGCAACCTTTGCCTCCCAGGTTCAAGCTATTCTCCTGCCTCAGCCTCCTAAGTAGCTGGGATTACAGGCATGTGCCACCATGCCCAGCTAATTTTTGTATTTTTGGTAGAGACGGGGTTTTACCATGTTGGTCAGGCTGGTCTCAAATTCCTGACCTCGTGATCCACTGGCCTCTGCCTCCCAAAGTGCTGGGATTACAGGCATGAGCCACCACACCCGGCCACACAGAACATATTTTATCCATCCTACTATTTGTAGCCACTGGAGTTGTTTCCAGCTTAGGATTATTACAAACAATGTTGTATGCTGTATTCTTGTACATCTATATTGTTTATACATGTGCAGGAGTTTTCCTAGTATGTATACATATATAGAATTGTTGTAGGGTATATGCATCTTTTCTAGATAAAAGCAGCCAGGCATAGTGGCTCACATCTATAATCCCAGTACTTCGGGAGGCTGAGGTGGGAGGATCACTTTGAGTTCAGGAGTTTGAGACCAGCCTGGACAACATGGTGAGACCCTATCTCTTAAAAAAAAAAAAGCAAACCTTTTTGTTACTTTTCAGTAATTTTTTATATTTATAACCCAAGTCTTTTAAGGAAAAGATCATGCCTTAAACCATTCTCAATGATTCCCTCTCGGAGGCCCATCACTAAAATGTATTTGCACAAGGTACTTAATTTTTAACCAGTGACAGTGACAGATAAGATTCAAACCAGGTTTCCTCTCCACCTACCTCGGAGGCAGGCCACACCTGCCAGAAGTAGCAGCAATGTCCCAGCATAGTGAGAAAACGGCACCACTTTGGACAAACTCAAGTAACCTGGGAAGGGAGAGGGACAATGTGAGACCCTCTCCGCAATGTCCCTCAGCTCCTCTTCCCAGTTCAGCCCCAACCTCCACCCCACACTCCCTGTTTGGAACAGCCATACCCTAAGAGGAAGAAGATGCCTGATGGAAGAGGGAAGCCAAGCCATCTTCACAGGTCCCCTCTCCTCTTTAGGGAGCTGGCTCATCTGCCAACAACCTGCCCATTTGCTACCCCACCACCTTTGAAACCACACTGACCTTTCCTGTACAAGTAGAAGAAGGCGAAGGGAGAGGAGTAATAAGAGATGGACCAGAATACTGAAGCCTGCAGCAGAGAGACAGGGACAGGCAATCAATACACACACACACACACCTGCCATTCCAGGCATATACTATACACTCTGAGCAAGATGGACAACCTGAGGGATATCATATCATATTTGGTGTATGACACCATGAATACAGTAGGTGCTCAGTATTTGTTGAAAAGTAGTGTGTCAATGTAATGGAGGCTGGGAAAATTTGGTACAGGCTCTATTTTCTTCCTCTGGAATTATGGAAGAATTATGTCTTCCATCTCCAGACATAATTCCATCACATTTAAAGGCAGTCTCTCTGTCTACTCAAGTTAATCAAGCCTTTTCAATTGGCCCTGCTCAGGACAGCCCCTGGCCTGGTCCCCAAGAGATGCGCAAACGTCACCACAGGAACTGTGCCAGAAAGAACAGCTGTCCCTGCAGCCAAAGAGGTTAGTTGCCAGGGAGGACAGGTCACTGGGGAACTGCAGGACTTAGCACCTGCAGATGGTCCCAAGAGTAAACATGTTTTCCTTACGGCTCAGGTTGCCCCCAGAGAAAGCAGTGCTACATACCAAAGGGGAGTGCCAAGTATGCACATTTAGAGTGTGCCTGTGTGTCTGTGTTGGAGAGGTCTGCTGCAGAGCCCAGGGCATCCCCCAACCCCAGGGCACTGTTGCTCCCAAGTTAGGGAGGGCTAAGTTCAAGAGGACAGGTGGGTCTGAAAGATGCAGAGTCCCAGATGCCAGGGTAGACATACCAGTGCCAGGATGCTGTCAGCATGTTTCTCCAGGGCACGGGGCTGATAGTACGTATCCTGCCAAAACAGATGGCCTCCTTAAGGACCCTGCCCACTGGCAGGTCCTTTCCCTTCCCTTTCAGAAGCCCTGCTGTGTGTCCTCTGGTTCTAGTCTCGTTGACTATCTCTCTTGAAACATCCCTGGCCCCCACAGAAACTCCTCTTCCTCACCCTCACTCTGAACCTAATTTCCCACCCCTGACCATGGGAACAAACACAGGGAGCTGGATTTGGAAGCAAAAGTGAAAGCAGCATTGGACGATTTTTGCTCCTTTTCCACAGCCTAGTTTCAAATGGATTGCAGGCGCGTGCATGTGGGGAGAAGGGTTAGTTTGAGAAGAAAGAAAAGACACCTAGACAATCTAAGAAGGAAAGAAAAGCATCAGAAATAAGAGTAGTTGACTAAGAAGAGAATGTGGGTAGGAGCGGGCAGTTTGTAGGAGACAGTAACACAATGAGACAACTGATAAAAAGGAAGAGAATATTTAGAACAGCCTACCACCACCCGCCAGCTCTCCAGAATACAATGACTCGGGTCTCCAGGCTAGGTTGGGCGGGGGTTGAGGGGAGGACCGACGGATACAGGATCTGTAAAAGTCATTCTGAAATTCAAGGCGAGGGTAAAGGGAAGATAAAAACAGAGCCGGGGGAGGCATGAAGAGGCACTGAAGAAGAGGAAACTGGGAGTCTGACAGCAAAATTCAACGGCTCCCCAGTCCGCGCAGGGTCTCTTCCCGGGACTCAAGACTCAACTGGGACCGGCACGAACCACGACACACAGGGTCGGGGGGACGCGGAGAGGAAAGAACAAAGAGTGGCAGTCGGAATGAGAAAGCGGTAAAGAGCGAAAAAGAAAGGAGGCGGCCAGTCCGTAGGCGTGACTTTAACTCAGGAAGCACACAGAGCGCAGATTTTGCGGATAACTGGCTTGACAAGCAGGCTCCCCTTATTTCCCATTATGGGCACTTCTGGGGAGCAAAAGGCCGTAAAGGGTTTGGACTGTACCACGTTCTTCGGTGGGGAGGAACTCGACTCACCCAGGAGCTGGAATGGGGGGCAGTGACTGCCGTTGGCGTCTCAGGGACGCTGGCCGGGGCCCTTTCAGAGTCCCTCTCCCGGTAGATTTTGTAGAGCCGGGGGCCTAGGACGCAGCTCAGCAGCTTCGCCATGGCCCCGGCTCGGGCCGCTGCTCTTCCAGCAGCAGGTCCCCCTGCCGGCCCCGCCCTCCCTGCCTCTGAGGTGTTGTGTGCCCTTGACGTCAGCCCGTACCGGCTCCGCCTCCGGGCGAGTTGCGACATTTTCAGTGCTTCCTGAGAAGAGTTTCGCGCAGTTGGAGCTACGGGTACAGCAGTGGTCCGAAACTAGTGGAAGACCACTAGAACGCGGAGAATCAGAAAATTACCGGGCATGGTTCAATAATTTTTTTCTGTCTCATTATTGGCAGACTCTAGAGCGACAGCGGAAACGAGGGGTGAGATTAGGAGTACTTGATAAGAGTAACCGAAAACATAAGGTGTCTAGGAATGTATCTAGTACAAGAAATGCAAGGTTTTATGAAGAAAACTATAAAAAGTTATTGAAAAGGCAAACTGGCCCGGCCCGGCGCAGTGGCTCACGCCTGTAGTCCTAGCACTTTGGGAGGCCGAGGCGGGGGGATCACTTGAGGCCAGGAGTTCGAGACCAGCCTGGCCAACATGGTGAAACCCCATCTCTACTAAAAATACAAAAATTAGCCTGGCATGGGTGGTGCGCGCCTGTAATCCCAGCTACTCGGGAGGCCGAGACGCGAGAATCGCTTGAACGCGGGAGGCAGAGGTTGCAGTGAGCCGAGATCTTCCCACTGCACTTCAGCCTTGGTGACAGAGCAAGACTCTGTCTCTAAATAAATAAATAAAGGTAAACTGGCCCAGCGCGGTGGCTCACGCCTGTAATTCCAACACTTTGGGTGGCCGAGGGATGATTGCTTGCGTCCAGGAGTTCCAGGCCATGACTCATGCCTGTAATTCCAACACTTGGGGTGGCTGAGAGAGGATTGCTTGCGCCCTGGAGTTCCAAGCCAGCCCAGGCAACATAGTGAGACCCCATCTCTACACAAAATACCAAGGGGGAAAAAAAAAAGACCTAGCAGGGTGTGGTGGTGCCCACCTGTAGTCCCAGCTACTTGGGAGGCCAAGGTGGGAGGGTCGCTTGAGCCCGGGAGTTTGAGATCGCTCCATGCACTCCAGCCTGGGTGACAGAGCCAGACCCTGCCTCAAAATAATAACAATAATAATTGAAAAAATAAAAAAAGAAAGAGGTAAACGAAAAGCTTTTCAATAAATGGAAAGCTACACCATGGTCCTGGATACGAAAATTCAGCACAGTAAGATATGCGGAATATTTGTAAAAAGAAAATAAATGAATCATTACTGTTATGCATGAACTGGATCTTAAAACCATGATGCTGAGTGAAAATAGAAAGCCACAGAAGAATGTATACGTGATACTAGTATATTAGATTCAAAAACACATAAAATTTAATGATAAAGCAAGTGGAGAAGAAAGAGAAAATTCAGAATTGTGGTTACACAGCATAGAGGATCTCTGACTGAAACGGAATATTCTTTTTTTCTGTTTTTTTTTTTTTTTTTTTTTTTGAGACAGGGTCTAGCTCTTTCACCCAGGCTGGAGCACAGTGGCACAATCACGGCTCACTGCCCTGATCCTCCACCTGCTGGGCTCAACCATCTTTCTGCCTCAACCTCCTGAGTAGCTGGGACTATAGGCCCACACCACCATACTCGGCTAATTTTACAAGGTCTCACCATGTTGCCCAGGCTGGTCTCGAACTCCTGGGCTCAAGTGAACCTCCTGCTTTGGCCTCACAGAGTGCTGGGATTACAGGCATGAGCCACTGTGCCTGGCCTGGAATATTCTATTTCTTTTTCTTTTTTTTTTTTCGAGACCGAGTTTCGCTCTTATTGCCCAGGCTGGAGTGCAATGGCCCGATCTCGGCTCACCACAACCTCTGCCTCTGGGGTTCAAGCGATTCTCCTGCCTCAGCCTCCCAAGTAGCTGAGATTACAGGCATGTACCACCATGCCCTGCTAATTTTTTTATTTTTAGTAGAGATGGGGTTTCTCCATGTTGGTCAGGCTGGTCTTGAACTCCTGACCTCAGGTGATCCGCCTGTCTCATCCTCCCAAAGTGGTGGGATTACAGGCATGAGCAACCGAGTCCGGCCTGGAATATTCTATTTATTTATTTATTTATTTATTATTTATTTATTTTTTTGAGACGGAGTCTCGCTCTGTCACCAGGCTGGAGTATAGTGGCATGATCTCTGCTCACCGCAGCCTCTGCCTCCTGAGTTCAAGCGATTCTCCTGCCTCAGCCTCCTGAGTAGCTGGGACTACAGGCATCCACCACCACACTCAGCTAATTTTTGTATTTTTAGTAGAGACAGGGTTTCACCATGTTGGCCAGGATAGTCTCGATCTCTTGACCTCGTGATCCGCCTGCCTCAGCCTCCCAAAGTGCTGGGATTACAGGCGTGAGCCACGGCATCTGGCCTTTATTTTCAGAGTTGGGGTCTTGCTCTGTTGCCCAACCTCAAACTTCTGGCTTCAATCAACCCTCCCACCTTGGCCTCCAAAAGTGTTAGGATTGTAGACATGAGCCACCATGCCTGGCCAGGCTTCTTTTACTCTCATTATATTGTGAGATTCAACTTTGTTGCAAATCACTAGGTTTGTTCATTCTCATTGCTGTCCAGTCTTCTACTCTGTTAAGCATTTATCCATTATATAGTTGTACTTCATATAGTTTTTGGTATGTATGGAATATTTCATCAAAATAATTTTAAAAATAAATAAATTACACATTAAAACTGTAATAACTGCATGAAGATCTGCCTTAGGAGTTTTTGCCGTTCAGAAGGATGAATCAGCCCGTTAGCCTTGTCCCTGAGTAATAATTTAATACACTTATTAGGGTTTCAGGAGAGGTCCGGGGTATGCCAGACAACCACAGGGAAAGTCATTCCAAATCATTTACGGGACACTGACTCGATACACAGTCTTGTGCTGGGTTCTGTGGAGGACCAACATAAAAACTCAAACTCAGTTTCTTCACTCATAGCTGACATTTCTTTTCTTTTCTTTTCTTTTTCTTTTTTTTTTTTTTTTTTTTTTTTGAGATGAAGTCTCGCTCTGTCTCCCAGGCTGGAGTGCAGTAGCACGATCTCGGCTCACTGCAACCTCCACCTCCCGGGTTCAAGCGATTCTGGTGCCTCTCAGCTTCCTAAGTAGCTGGGATTACAGGCACATGTCACCACGCCTGGCTAATTTTTGTATTTTTTGTAGAGACAGGGTTTCGCCATGTTGGCCACGCTGGTCTCGAACTCCTGACCTCAAGTGATCCACCCAACTCATGGCTGACCTTTCTTAGGAGTGAAAGAGACCTCAGAATGTACTTCCAGACTGACAAGAGCTAGACAGGCAGGACCACTTCTCTGCATGGTTTTTTGCATGGAAAGTCTTTATTTGAGCCCCTTAGCTGATGTGGAATCAGAAGAGCAAAAAGGTCATCTTCAGAGTGGCCTGGGCTGGGTCCTTTTCTCTCCAGGATAGAAAAGTGGTGGTCACTTTATCCCTAGTAGACATGCTGCTGGGCTTTATCGCCCCAGCATTCCCATCCCCTCCAGAGCCCCTTGTCACTCCAGACCAGCGAGTGTGGGCCTTTATCTGGACTCTGCTTCCTCCCTGGGGACACCAGGTCTTGGAGCAAGAGAACTTGGCAGGCTCTCCCCATGGCAGTCTTATTCCTCCTCCTGTTCCTATGTGGAACTCCCCAGGCTGCAGGTAAGGGGCAAGAGGTACGGGATTCCTTAGCTATTTGCAAGGTTGGGGAGGGACTACTGCTCTTTCTCCTAGGAGCCTGGCGAAGGCATCTGACTCAAGAAGATAGAATTACCCCAACCAACCTCCTCCTGCCTCTGACACTAGGGAAGACCCAGAGGCAACGAGGGTCCAGGTTATGCAGTTTCCTTTATAAAATAAGAAGAATGAGTAAATGCTTCCAGAAAAGTAGAAATGAGTAGAAGAGATGTGGGCATTTGCCAACTTTCAGCCTTTTCCCTCTTGCCCTCAGACCCCCTCACTGGCTGGGGGAGAGAGGAGGAAAGCCCTTACCCTCTTCTCTCCACCTGTCTTATTTTTGTAGCTGTCACTTGAGAAATGTGGTCACCAGCCAGGCCTGTGCTGGGGGACCCCAGAAGGGAAGGAAGCCAGGGTTGAAGATCAAATGGGGGGTTATTGATCTGATGGAGGTCTCTGGCCTCATACAACCCTCTTCCCACAGACAACATGCAGGCCATCTATGTGGCCTTGGGGGAGGCAGTAGAGCTGCCATGTCCCTCACCACCTACTCTACATGGGGACGAACACCTGTCATGGTTCTGCAGCCCTGCAGCAGGCTCCTTCACCACCCTGGTAGCCCAAGTCCAAGTGGGCAGGCCAGCCCCAGACCCTGGAAAACCAGGAAGGGAATCCAGGCTCAGACTGCTGGGGAACTATTCTTTGTGGTTGGAGGGATCCAAAGAGGAAGATGCCGGGCGGTACTGGTGCACTGTGCTAGGTCAGCACCACAACTACCAGAACTGGAGGGTGTACGACGTCTTGGTGCTCAAAGGTGAGTGGGGGCATGCAGACCAGGGGCTACTGTGGCCCAGGAAGTCCAGGTGAAGAACTGAGGAATCCCTCTCTCCCCTACAGGATCCCAGTTATCTGCAAGGGCTGCAGATGGATCCCCCTGCAATGTCCTCCTGTGCTCTGTGGTCCCCAGCAGACGCATGGACTCTGTGACCTGGCAGGAAGGGAAGGGTCCCGTGAGGGGCCGTGTTCAGTCCTTCTGGGGCAGTGAGGCTGCCCTGCTCTTGGTGTGTCCTGGGGAGGGGCTTTCTGAGCCCAGGAGCCGAAGACCAAGAATCATCCGCTGCCTCATGACTCACAACAAAGGGGTCAGCTTTAGCCTGGCAGGTAAACTGAGGAAGGAGACGGAAAGGGATGTTCTTTCACTTCAGCCTCCCAAGTAGCTGGAATTACAGGCGCCTGCCACCATGCCTGGATAATTTTTTGTACTTTTAGTAGAGACGAGATTTCACCATTTTGGCCAGGCTGGTATCAACCTCCTGACTTCTAGTGATCTGCCTGCCTCAGTCTCCCAAAGTGCTGGGATTATAGGCATGAGCCACCGCACCTTTAAATTTTTTGTAGAGACAGGATCTTGCTATGTTGCCCAGTCTGGTCTCAAACTACTGGCCTCAAATGATCCTCCTATCTTGGTCTCCCAAAGTGCTGGGGTTACAGGCATGAGCCATCACATCTGGCTATTTTTTCTTGAAAGAAAGGGTGAATTACTATAAAGGGTGTGAGGGGAAAGTGTGGTTATGGCTGGTGGTCTGCTCTGTAGTTGGTTGCCCATGCGTGAGCAGGGGGCATTGCCATTCTCTACTTTTTATTTTATTTTATTTTATTTTATTATTATTAGGCCAGGCATGGTAGCTCAATCCTGTAATCCCAGCACTTTGGGAGGCCGAAGCAGGCGGATCACTTGAGGTTGGGAGTTCAAGACCAGCCTGACTAACATGGAGAAATTCTGTCTCTACTAAAAATACAAAATTAGCCGGGTATGGTGGCACATGCCTCTAACCCCAGCTACTCGGGAGGCTGAGGCAGGAGAATCACTTGAACCTGGGAGGTGGAGGGCGCAGTGAGCCAAGATCACGCCATTGCACTCCAGCCTGGGCAACAAGAGCGAAGCTCTATCTCAAAAAAAAAATTGTATTTTTAGTAGAGACGGGGTTTCACCATGTTGGCCAGGATGGCCTTGATCTCTTGACCTCATGATCTGCCTGCCTCAGTCTCCCAAAGTGTTAGGATTATAGGTGTGAGCCACCACGCCTGGCCTTTTTTTTTTTTTTTTTTTTTTTTTTTTGGGATGGAGACTTGTTCTGTTGGCCAGGCTGGAATGCAGTGGCACGATCTTGGCTCACTGCAACCTCTGCCTCTTGGGTTCAAGCTATTCTCCCATCTCAGCCTCCTGAGTAGCTGGACTACAGGTGCCTGCCACCACGCCTGGCTAACTTTTGTGTGTGTGTGTGTGTTTTTTTTTGTTTTTTTTTTGAGACAGAGTCTCTCTCTGTCGCCAGGCTGGAGTGCAGTGGCGCAATCCCGGCTCACTGCAACCTCTGACTCCCTGGTTCAAGTGATTCTCCTGCCTCAGCCTCTCGAGTAGCTAGGATTACAGGCATATGCCACCACGTCCAGCTAATTTTTGTATTTTTAGTGGAGCCGGGGTTTCACCATGTTGGCCAGGATAGTCTCAATCTCCTGACCTCGTGATCTGCCCGCCTTGGTCTCCCAAAGTGCTGGGATTACAGGTGTGAGCCACAGCGCCCGGCCTCTTTTTTGTGTTTTTAGTAGAGATGGGGTTTCACCATGTTGGTCAGGCTGGTCTCGACCTCCTGACCTCAGGTGATCCACCCACCTCGGCCTCCCAAAGTGCTGGGATTACAGGTGTGAACCACTGCGCCTGGCCTCAATTTTTATACTTTCAGTAGAGATGAGGTTTCATCATGTTGACCAGGCTGGTCTTGAACTCCTGACCTCAAGTGGTCTGCTCGCCTTGGCCTCCTAATGTGCTGGAATTACAGGCATGAGCCACTGTGCCTGGCCGCCATTCTCTATGGGTCAGGGTGAGAGGCCTGGAAAGGGGCAGAGTAGGGTGGAGGATATTGTGGGCAGGGAAGCTTACAAAGTCTTCTGTTGGAAGAGCCCACCAGACTGTGGAGGGGAAGCCTCTCTTTGGGGCACAGGGACAGGGCCCCTCACTACCTCCCTCCCATCCCTCTGGTCTGGCCCTTACTACAGCCTCCATCGATGCTTCTCCTGCCCTCTGTGCCCCTTCCACGGGCTGGGACATGCCTTGGATTCTGATGCTGCTGCTCACAATGGGCCAGGGAGTTGTCATCCTGGCCCTCAGCATCGTGC
Source organism: Homo sapiens (assembly GCF_000001405.40). NCBI lineage: Eukaryota > Metazoa > Chordata > Mammalia > Primates > Hominidae > Homo > Homo sapiens. The sequence continues at coordinate 3,009,440 of NT_167249.2, forward strand.
TCTGGAGGCAGAGGGTCCGTGGGGCTCCAGGCAGAGGTGAGTCCCTCCCTCCCCGGGGAAAGAAGAGGGCACATGGGTGGGAGGCAAAGGGCTAGGCTCACACCCTGCCTCTGTACCCCACCTCCTCTAGGGGAGGGGGCGAGGAACACGGCTCTAAGTTGTCTGCTGACTTCTCTTCTGTATCCCTGATGGCTCCTTCTCCCCAGATGCCTCGATTCCTCAGTTCAAACCCGAAATCCAGGTCTATGAGAACATCCATTTGGCCCGTCTTGGGTGAGGAACAGCTAGGGAACAGAGGCTTAAATCCTGGAGGGGACTGGGGATGGAGAGGAAACACGGGTTGGGTTGGGGATGGGCCCTCGTTCCTGAGGATGTGAAAAGTAGAGGTATCCTTAATCTGTCTCTCTGGAAAACCCCACAGCCCACCTGCCCACAAGCCCAGGTGATTTTGGTGACATCTGCTGGGAAGTGTGACCTGCTGTCTCGCTGGCCATCTGGCACCTGGAAGATTCCTCGACAACCTTAGCAAGGGGGGCGGGACTGAGAGTTCGACTTCACCATCCAGCTGGCCTCCAGCAGCCACCAAGCTGTGTATGGGGAGGGGTGGGGGACTGAAGGAAAGGAGGAGCATTATTCTGTGATGTAACCTACAAAAAGGTTTGGTCTCCTGTCTTGTAGCAGCAGTGGAGGGATGGCCCTGAGCCCATAGTACTGTGGGGTTGAGGGGAGCCTGAGGTTGCTGGTGGGGGCAAGGAGGATGGGTGTGCACAGGGAGGAGACAGGAATCTGGAGACTTGAGCAATGGTGGGGAATCCATTGCAGTGGAGCTGAAGGACAAATGGGGAAAACGGGGGAAGAGAGAGAAGGGAAGAGACTCAAGTCAGAGAAAGTGGAAAGAGATGGACAGAGGGAGAAAAATAGAAGCACAAAGTGGGAGGATGGAGGGACAGAGAAAATGGAAAGCCTCAACCCATCTCTAAATTAAGCCAGACCCCCACTACCCCATGTCTCATCCTCACAAAGAAGAGAGGGAACAGGCATATTTAATCAACCCCAGACTTCCTCACATGCAAGGGGAGGGAACTGAGTCAGGATAGAGATGCCTGTGCTCAGCTCCCACCCGGGGCCCCCTCCTTATCCTTCCTTATCCTAGGCACACACTCTTCCCTGTGGCGCCTTACCGGGGCATTCAGAGCATGTGAGCAGCTATCGCCACTCTGGCACTTCCTTCCTGCTGCCCTGAGGTCACACCCTATTTCTCGGGGGCAGAGGGAGTGTCTACTCAGGCTGGCAGGCCCAGTGGGGGTATGTTATTTATTGGGCCGGGGCCATGCTGGGATGTCTGTGAACCATGGGCGAGTCTGGGCTGGTGAAGCGAGGGAGGATATTGATGCTCCCAACTTGGCCATTCCCTAGTCTCAGGCAGAAATGAGCTGAGCTCCAGCCACACCCTCACAAGCAGCTCCACTGGGTGCCCTTTTGTGTCTCTGCTCAAGCTTGGGCCTTACTGGAAAAAAGCTTTCTCAGAAGTCTCACCTAAAGGCTTCAGGCTGCAGGGGCTTAAACTAAGCCATTGGCAAGAAAAAGGACGAAAATGACACAGATGGAGAATGAGGGGAGTGCCGTGGTCCAGGTTCCAGCTCCAGCCCAACCCACCAAGCAGCTACAGTTTGCTCTTAGAGCACACACACACAGACACACACACACACACACACACACACACACACACACACACTGCAGTATCTGCAGTATTACTGGACTCCTAGATAGACCTTTTATTAAAGGTACTCTTCATAGTCCCCCAAGCCCTCCATCCTGAGTTCCCGACCTACCACATTAGTCTTTCCTAGCAAGACTCTCCTCCTTACCATACCTGATGCTCCTTTGATCCCCTTGCCTGAGATCCACAGTGTCATCAAAATGCCTGCCTTGCCAGTGACCTGGGCTGACACGGGGCATCAGCAATGGGCATCTAGAAAAGACAAAAGACGCAGAATAGGTGTTCTTTATGAGGTTGGACTCTGGGCAGGTGCCTCCCCAGGCCTTGTGAGGGGTCTGTGAGGGGTCTGCTGAGAGATCTGGGGTCTCTGTACAAAATTAGGTTCTCGGGCATGTCTCAAAGTGTCTGTGCAGGTGTTTCCAGGGCCGCAGTGATGGCGGGGGGTATCCTGGGTTGGGGGCTGCAGATCCACGGAAGCTAGTGGAGGAGGTGTCCTCTCCCAGCGAAGCTGGCCACAAAGAGGGGCAGGGAGGCGAGGAGGCTGGTGAGCTGCTGTGGGGAAGCGGCTATGTTGCACAGGTCCTGCTCGCAGCAGTGGTGCCACAGAGTGTAGGAGTGCAGCCAGTAGGTGGCATAGCCTGGCAGAGGGCACTGGGCCCTTGAGAGGCAGCTTTTTCACTCAGTGATCTCACTCTGGTCTGTGGGATGAAAGAGGCATGCTGAGGCGGGGGCCACAGGAAAGGCCGGATGGATGGAGGTAGGGAGCCTCCTGGAGAAGGGCCATTGGACCAGAGTCCTACCTGAAGTGCCAATACTGATGCCACAAGCTTCATCGTCCCGACACTCGGTGGGAACAGGGTGGCAGGGTTTGGTGAAGCCACAGATGTAGCAGCGGAGCCTTCCCCGGGCAGGGGACATGGTGAGACCTGTTGAGGCAGCAGAGATTAGGAGAGCAGGAGAGGCAAACCCTCCCTGTGGGGCAGGCAGAGGCCAGATCCGGAGAGGGATCACAGAGAGAGGTGACACATGAAGCAGAGAGAGGAAAGCTGTGGAATAAGGGAGGAAAGCTGACAGAAGTAGAAAAAATAGCTGGGCGCAGTGGCTCACGCCTGTAATCCCAGCACGTTGGGAGGCCGAGGCGGGCTGATCATGAGGTCAGAAGATTGAGACCATCCTGGCTAACACAGTGAAACCCCGTCTCTACTAAAAATACAAAAAATTAGCCGGGCATGGTGGCACATGCCTCTAGTCCCAGCTACTTGGGAGGCTGAGGCAGGAGAATCTCTTGAATCTGGGTGGCTGAGGTTGCAGTGAGCCGAGATCATGCCACTGCACTCCAGCCTGGGTGACAGAACGAGACTCTGTCTCAAAAAAAAAGAGGGAGACGATGCAGGAAAAGAAACAGAGATGGAGGCAAGAGGGGTACAGGGATTGAGAGATGCGCAGACATGAACAGAAGCCACAAGAATCAGAGACCAACATAAAAAGAGTGAGACAAAAAGCCAGACCCAGCAGCAGGGAAGTTGAGGGGGTCAGTGAAAAAGTTAAGTAAATGGCACCAGAGACAGATAGGAAAATAGAAATTGACATTGACCAAAGGGCCCAGCACAGAAGCAACACGTGAAATAAGGGATAGGGGAGACAGGGGCGGATCAAAGATGCAGCAAGGGGGAGACAGTTATTCTCAAATGCCTTGAAAGGAAACTCTTCCTTTCCCACCTCATCAGGCTGGCCTTCCCAGTGGCTGGTCTCCCTGAAGTCCCCCACTCCCCCAGCTCTCTTCTTGGCCTCTTCCAGCACCCACACCCCTCTCCTCCCCAGCCCTCAGGTTCCTCCACATGCCCTTGTCCCCACCCCCAGCCCCCTGACCACTGAAGGTTCCCCAGCCCACCCTTACCCAGTGCCCCACAGAGGAACAGCACGCAGAGGAAGATGCTGGAGGTGCCCATGGCCAGACACAGGCTCAGGAATCTGGGAGAGGTGATCTGCACCCCGAGATCCCGGGATTTGTAGAGTTGGAGCATTTGAGCAAGACAGTGAGGAACCAGTAAACAAACACACCTAGGGAGTGAATCTGGGGGGCGGAACCATGACCAGATTCACCAGCCTGACCCAGCAGGCAGCGGGGGCCCCCAGCCTGCCCCTGCAAGGAGTCTGCCCTTGCCTGGAGGGTCTCCTCTGCTCTCTCAGCATGTTGTCTCTGTAACTTAGCTTCCTCTCCTGCTCCTGAGTTGTGTCTGTCGCCTTCCCTCCTACTCCTCCCCCTCCCTCCCCATGTCTCAAGCTGCTCCCTGGCTCTCTCAGCTTCTCTCTGTCTTTGTTTTCTCTGTCTTTCCCCCTCAGTGCTTTCATGTCTCTCAAAGTCACCCTCCTAAACAGCCCCGGCGTGGATCTGTTTGAGTGTAGAATCAACAATACCCCCACCCACACACCCACATGCACACACAAAGCCCAGCTGTGTAAGGGCGGACCCCACCCAGCTTCAGATCCCTTTGATCCCCCCAAGCTTCAACATTCCTACCCTGTAATTATCCCTGCCAGCTTTACTACCTTGGAGGAAAGAAATAACCACGGGTGGGGCTGGAGGGCCTGCTGATGTGCTTGCACTGGGGAGAAATCACTAGAAAGGAAGGCATGGATGGGATTTGGGGTAGGGGGGTGGTGATACAGCCTGGAAGGCTGGGGTTGAAGAGACTGGGAAGGAGGAAGGCCCATCTGGGGAATCAGAGCCAGCATGTACCAGGAGGAGTAAGACTAGGAACAGGGAGTGAAGATAGGGGAGACACAGGTGCCCAGGAGAGCAGCTCTTTTCAAAAATATTGATCTCAGGACCTCTTTACACTTTTCAAAGTTACTTAAGACTCTGAAGAGCTTTTCTTTATGAGGTTATATCAATATTTACTACATTAAAAATTAAAACAGAAAATTTAAAGTAGGTATTTATTGATTTATTTAAACAATAAAAATAATAAAGTATTACATGCTAACAAAATACAGTTTTGTGAAAAATAACTATTATTTCTCCACAGCACAGTGAGAAGCTGAGCATTGCTTTACATTTTTGTGAATCTAGTGTCAGGCTTCGTGGGAGATGCCTGGGTTTTCCTATCTGCTTCTGCATTCAGTCTGTTGGGATATGTTGTTTTCGTTGAAGTCCAGTATATGAAGAAAATCTGACCTTACACAGATAGTTGCAAAAGGAGGACCCTCAAGGACCCTGTGAAAGGGTATCAGGGATCCTCAGGGGTTCTTGTTGGTCCACAGACTGCTGCTGAGGATAAAGGAGTTTGAGGACTCCAGAGGATGCTGAGAGCATGCTGTGGGGCCCCTCCCTGTCCCCACTGGGGCCCTTGGTGCCTGCTGGGGGAGACTCTTTCTTCCTTTTTTATAGCCCTATAAAGCTCAAGGCACGGGGGATATAAGGCAGGCAGAGCCGGGCTGGGGAGGGGGGTGGGCAGGAGGTAGAGGCGGTCCTGACACGGGCAGACTGCGATGAAACCCCAGTTTGTTGGGATCTTGCTCAGCTCCCTGCTAGGGGCTGCCTTGGGTAAGGAGGCGGCCAGCTAGCTTCTCACACAGGCCTTCTGCCAGCCGGCTCCACCGAGGGCCCAGGTCCAGCGCCTCTTTTCTCCTGCCAGGAAACCGAATGCGGTGCTACAACTGTGGTGGAAGCCCCAGCAGTACTTGCAAAGAGGCCGTGACCACCTGTGGCGAGGGCAGACCCCAGCCAGGCCTGGAACAGATCAAGCTACCTGGAAACCGTGAGTCCTCAGTTTCTCCCTCTTCCAGCAGCCTTTCCCTGCCTCCAGCCCCATGTCAATCCTTCTGGCTTCCAGAACCCTCCAGGCTCAGTCTGGCTCTGGGCAGATGGTGCAGCTGTTAGAGGAGAGCAGTCTGTACCCCTTCTGGCTCCTGGCACGGAGCCCCTGAGAGGCCCACAGTCCTTGTGCCCCCACTTCCCCACCTCCTTATTCTCCTAAAAGAATCTCATAGGCCCATTAGCTCACAAATGAAGAGCTCTGGCCCTGAAAGGCCAAAGTTAAAACCAAACTTCAAATTTTCGGCATTAGTTAAGGACCAGGGAGGGGTGTGTGTGTGTGTGTGTGTGTGTGTGTGTGTGTGTGTGTACATGTTTTTAATATTTTATTTTAACATAATTTTGGATTGACAGAAAAGTTGCAGAAATACTCAACTTCTCCTAATGCTAACATCTTACATAACCATAGCACAATTATCAAAATCACAAAATAACTGATACAATACTACTAACTAATCTACAGACTTTATTTGATTTAGCAAGATCCTACATTGCATTTAGCTCTCATGTCTTCTTAGTCTCCTCTGATCTGTGCCAGTTCTGTTTTTCTTTGTCTTTCATGACCCTGACACATTTGAAGAGCCCTGATAAATTATTTTATACCTGGAGTTTAAAAAATTACTTTTAGGGCCAGTGCAGTCACTCGCACCTGTAATCCCAGCACTTTAGGAGGCCAAGGTGGGAGGACCACTTGAGCCCAAGAGTTGAGACCAGCCTGGGCAACATAGGGAGACCCTGTCTCTACAAAAAACAAACAAACAAACAAACAAACAGATTAAAAAATTAGTTGGGTGTGGTGGCACATGCTTGTAGTCCTAGCTACTCAGGGGGCTGAAGAGGGAGGATCGCTTGAGCCTGGGAGATTGAAGCTACAATGAGCCATGATCACGCCACTACACTCCAGCCTGGGGAACAAAATGAGACCCTGTCTCAAAAATAATAATAATAATAATTTTTAGGCTAGGCTTGGTGGCACACACTTGTAATCCCAGCACTTTGGGAGGCCAAGGCTGAAGAGTCACCTGAGGTCAGGAGTTTGACACCAGCCTGGGCAGCAAAGTGAGACCCCCATCTCTACAAAAAATGTTTTTAAAAAATTAGCCAGGCATAGTGGCACACACCTGTAATCTCAGTTTCCTGAGAGGCTGAGGCAGGAGGATTACTTGAGCCCAGGAGTTTGAGGCTATAGGGAGGTATGATTGCACCACCACACTCCAGCCTGAGTGAGAGAGCAAGATCTTTTCTCTAAAATTAAATAAAATCATTTTTAGATTAAACAAAAATTACGTGCCGGATGCAGTGGCTCACGCCTGTAATCCCAGCACTTTGGGAGGCCAAGGCGGGTGGATAACCTGAGGTCGGGAGTTCAAGACCAGCCTGATCAATGTGGAGAAATCTCGTCTCTACTAAAAATACAAAATTAGCCGGGTGTAGTGGTGCCCGCCTGTAATACCAGCTACTCGGGAACCTGAGGCAGGAGAATTGCTTGAACCCAAGAGGTGGAGGTCGCGGTGAGCCGAGATCACACCATTGCACTCCAGCTGGGCAATAAGAGTGAAACTCCGTCTCAAAAAAAAAAAAAAAATTACAGATACTTGAAATACTAAAAATTATTTTATAGAATGTCCCTCGATATTTATTTATCTGATATTTGCCATGATGAGATTGAGGTCATGCATTTTAAGCAAGAATACTGCAGAAGTGATGTTGCATCCTTCTTGCTGCATCACATCAGGAGTTTACAAGGTCAATGCATTAACTTTGATCACTTGGTTTCAGGGAGGTGTTTTTTGAGGGGGCTGAAAATCCCTTTGGGCTCCTTGAAATCACATCTGCTCTGCCCCAGAAGGCAAGTCCTGAAGCCAGGAGTCCAACACCCCAGTTTCATTCTCTCTCTCAGCCCCAGTGACCTTGATTCACCAACATCCAGCCTGCGTCGCAGCCCATCATTGCAATCAAGTGGAGACAGAGTCGGTGGGAGACGTGACTTATCCAGCCCACAGGGACTGCTACCTGGGAGACCTGTGCAACAGCGCCGTGGCAAGCCATGTGGCCCCTGCAGGCATTTTGGCTGCAGCAGCTACCGCCCTGACCTGTCTCTTGCCAGGACTGTGGAGCGGATAGGGGGAGTAGGAGTAGAGAAGGGAACAAGGGAGCAAGGGAACAAGGGACATCTGAACATCTAATGTGAGAAGACAAACATCCTTCTGTGAGTCATTAAAATCTATGAACCACTCTACAGCTGACTGGAAAATTACATCTATCTTTGGTTGATGGGAGGGCTAAAAGCGTAATATGGGGCATCCAGGTTCTAGTTTGGGGGTTACCAAGCAACAGCGGGCTTAATTACAGTGGTGCACTCCTTAACCAACTAAACCCCAAAGGGCAATGGCTTATCTGCCTTCTGTGGCTCCTGGATCCTGTTGCTGGGTTGAATCTTCCTTAGCAATGAGATTCATTGAGTGGGGTTGCCAGGGTTTTGTGAGCCTGAGTCTGGGTTTGCTCCCCTATTTCCCATTTGCAAGTTGGCTCCCAATAGGACTATTTTGAATTGAGAAAAGAAATGTAAAAACTGTGATAGGTAAAAACTGCTTGATGCCCTACTTACTAACTAGGCTAGGTGAGGCCTTTGACTCTAACCTGAGAGAAACTGAAGAAACAGGGTCTCAGGCCCCATCTCCATGTACCTCTCCTATCCTTTCTGGAGAGCCCTCAAGCCAGGCCGCACCTTCTTCTTGGCAATACATCAGGGGTGTGGCCTAAATTTAGGATATGAGTTGTTGTGTGCCACCTGGAGACACTGGAAGGGAGGATGAAGACCTGAAAAACCTGTTTCTCCATTTTCCCCAGCCCAGCCTCCCAGGGAACCTCCCTGAAGGATTCCTGTGTAAGGGAGGGAGATTGAGAGTATTATTTCCTGGGAGGTGACCTGACCCTTAGGTCTTCTTATAATAAATGTACATTTTATCAGACTCAGACATTTATTACTCAAAATGGAAAGAGGTGAGTATGGGGGATGGGGTACATATGGGAGCCTGGGTTTGGGGAGTCAGCTCTGTACAGTGAGGTCATCAGGTCCTTGTGGGAGCCTTCACTGGGGACAACACAGAAGCCCCATTTCAGGCCCAGATCCCAATCCCTCCTCAAGTAGGGGACAGCAGAGTATAGGAAGCAAAGTGGGGAGCCCTTCTAGGAGCCAATGGAGGTCCTGGAAGGAAGTGGGAAGGGACCCAGAAAAAGGAGAGTGAAGGGTGTGAGGTGGGAAGGATGGATGAGGAGACCACTCGGAACAGTGTTTAATTAAAGAAATGGGAGCTAGGGAGAGACGATTCTGTAAAGCCAGGGGATACAGAGACACAGGGAGAGAGGCTCAGGCCAAGGCAGGTGGGAGGAGGGGCAGCCAATGGAATGAGTCTCAGTGCAGCAGCCAGAGGCCAAGGCCAGCCAAGGAGGTAAGGAAGACAAGGCCCAGGGCTGGAGTGGGCCGGGGTCCTGCGCTGTTGCAGTTGTCCTTGTTGCAGCAGGTGGTGTTATATGTCAGACCCAGCTTGCGGTTGGTTTGGTTGAAGGCCTCCTGACAGGGCTCTTCTGGTGTGCCACAGCGCAGATTGGAGAAAACCCACATCTTACCTAGGGGTGGGAATGGGCAGGGAATCGGCCAGGATGGGCACCTGGCATGCCTGTGTCCACCTCCCCACCCCATCCACCCACCTAGGCTTCCTTCCTTCCCAACTCTGTCCCTGGCCCTCCCCTTCTCTTTTCTTAGTCTGATCTTCCTTCTGCACATCCTTACCCACCACTCCCCCAGTCCTGGTTCTATCACTTGCTGGCCATGGACCTGTTACTGTCTCTGTTTTTTGTTTTTTTGTTTTTTCCAAGACAGAGTCTCACTCTCGCCCAGGCTGGAGTGCAGTGGTGCCATCTCAGCTCACTGCAACCTCCGCCTCCCAGGTTCAAGCGATTCTCCTGCCTCAGCCTCCCGAGTAGCTGGGATTACAGGCGCCCACTACCATGCCTGGCTAATTTTTGTATATTTAGTAGAAATGGGGTTTCACCATGTTGGCCAGGCTGGTCTTGAACTCCTGACCTCAAGTGATCCAACCACCTTGGCCTCCCAAAGTGCTGGGATTACAGGCATGAGCCACCATGCCCGGCTGTGTTACTGTCTCTTTTTGAGGCCGTTTTCTCAGTATAATAATAGCACCCACATCACAGGGTTGTCATGAACATTAATTGAAAAAAAGGCATGCAAAGACATAGGATGTTGCCTGGCACACAACCATCTTTGGCCAAATATTATCATTGCTATAATCCTCTGCTTCTCCATCTCAGTCTTAGACCCATTTGGGCCTCAGTCCTGGTCATAGAGGCTCCCACCTCCCTGTTCACCCCACTAAGGAAGGGGATGTTACCAAGGTATGCATGTGTTGTCAGGCATTGCTGTCCTGGCTCCAGGCGGCAGGACTGCCGGTCCACACAGCCCAGCACAGGGACCTTGTAGCAGGAGTGACAGCGAATGTCAGCTGGGAAGACACAAGTCAGGCTGAGGTGATGGGGTCTCTGACTTACCTGGGGATAAGCTGAGCTGGGGGCAGGGGTGGAGGGTGGAGAAGAGCCCATCCCGTAGGTGCTCCAACCTGTTTGGCTGTTTGGTCTAGCAAGCACAGAGCAGGTGAGTGATGCAGGGAAAATGGAAAGTGGGCGGCAGGTAAGGGTAGAGCTGTTGCTTTGTGAAAGGCCCACGCCCTACATATCTTCCATCACTCCACCCCGTTTGGAGGTGAGTCAAGAGGGACAGAACTATGAAGAAAAACATGGGGCTGGAGATAGATGGAATGTGAGGAAGATACCATGGGGAAAGAATGTGGATGGTGAAGGAGGAGATGGAAACTTGAAAGAAGGAGAAATAATAAAAATGAAAATCATGAGGGTTACAACACTGTCAGAAATGCCTTGGAACTTGAGGCTGGCGAGAAAGCCATCTGTGGCCAGCTTTAGCAATTTACAATTTACTCTTCACCTCCTGGAGCTGGCAAGAGTGTGGCAAGAGGAACCAGACCAGAATAGAATCCTCTCACCCCAGTAGCTCTTCAGCAGAAAGGAATGATACCTGAGAGACAGATCACCAGATTCCATCTTAGCACCTTATCAAAATGGAGAGGGTGGATACAGAAGGTGGCACCCCAAGTTTCCTGCTTCAGTTAATTCAAGGTTTGGGCAGGCAAGATTTGGTGACGCAGGGTCCGAGGGTGGAAGAGCCTGGTAAGTGTACCTCAGTGAAATCCACTTCACCCTGGAGGTAAGTGGCCCAGTTGTCCCCTCTTCAGAAGGCTCAAGAAAACGCTCTGTTTCCATGGAGGCTCTTAGATGTCACTGCAACCATCTAGAAAGTTTGTATCCCCTGTATGGGAGGAGGTATGCAACCCAGGAGGGGAGTAGGGGGTATCTAGGAAAGGCCATGGCTGAGAGACTGAACATGTGAGTCCCTGATGGAGTAGATGGGGAGGGTAGGTTACAAAAGGAGCCTGGGGCTGGATGCCTAGGTCTTCGAGAGGACACCTTACTGAGCACAGCAGATAGAGGAGAAGGCAGGTAAGCTAGACTCTGGAGAGTTGCATATTGAAGTGGGGCTGGTTGGGGAACTGGATACCAGAGTTTCCAAGGAGGAGACACCTTGGAGTGGGGAACAGGGGACCCAGAGCCCTGGCAGGTGAGAGAAATGGGTCTTTCTTGGAGGTGGGGAGGATGGATGGAGACCTGGCTTTTTGAGAAATAGAGCAAGGAGGCTGTCATAGGGAAGCCTGGTCTTGGTGGCACAGGAGAGCTGAGCCAGTTGGGGCTGGGGGTGTTGGGATCCCGAGTGGTGGGTAGGGCCGGGAAGTGGGTAGAGCAGGGTGTAAAGGTCCTGACCAGGCAAACCAGGTCTTTGGGGCCCCCAGGTGCTCACCTGAGACCCAGCAGAGCAGAACAGACAGGGTGAGCAGCATAAGGGCTTTCATGGCGAGGGTCCTGAGAATGGTGGCAACCACAGCAGCTGATAGAGTAGATTTTCAAGGATCCAGCTCTAGGAGTTGAGTGGCCTTTTTGGAATTTATAAACCCAAAGGCTCCTCCCTTCCCTGCCTCTGGTAGCCCCTCCCTTCTCACTTACTACGCAGCTGACCAGAGAAAAGACAAGGGGTGGGAAGGCACTGAGCAGGACTGAGTGGGGAGTAGGGATGGGAGAGAGGGATGGGGGAAGGCAGGTGCCACTAGTGGCCAATGCCATTGTGGTTCTTGGTTTCAGGCCAAGATGCCCTTCCTGGTCCCCAGCTAAGAGTCCTGCTGCTCAGTCCTCTGAATGAGCATCATCAAAGGCCTCTGTGATTTACAGTGTCCATGGTGGCAGCTTCTGCTGGTTCCTGGAAAATGGACAAAAGGATGTGGCCCAAATTAATTGCTGAATTTGGGTCCCTGGGTCCCTGCTGGGCATTGATAGGGGCATGCTGGTGGAAATTGGGGGAGGAATGGGTCAAATTAATCTCCATTCAGCCCCCACTCGGTCTTTCCAATGCCTGCTCAGCAATAAGTGACTCACTGATGGCTTCTGTGATGCCACAGCAGCAGAGGCAGGGGCTGGGGCTACTCATCCAGGAGAGCCACCACAGGTCTGCTAAGTAGGGCTGCCTCAGGCTCCCATGAAGGTTCTCAGGATGTCACCCGTGCTCCACTTGCGCTTGGTGTGGCCTTGTTGCTCCAGTCCAGCAGCAGCAATTGTCCTAGGTGTGGCTGTGTGCACCTGCTCCAAAGCACCTCCCCAGTCAAAACCTGCCAACTTGGGCAGGGTACCAAGCCAGGAGGAACAGCATGGGCACAGAGAGGTGAGGTAGAAGCTAAAATAAGAATAGAAATAGTAGGCCGGGTGTGGTGGCTCACACCTGTAATCTCAGCACTTTGGGAGGCCGAGGTGGGTGGATCACAAGGTCAAGAGATCGAGACCATCCTGGCCAACATGGTGAAACCCCATCTCTACTGAAAATACAAAAATTAGTCAGGTGTGGTGGCATGCACCTGTAGTTCCAGCTACTCAGGAGGCTGAGACAGGAGACTCACTTGAATCCAGGAGCCGGAGGCTGCAGTGAGTCGAGATTGCACTCCAGCCTGGCCACAGAGCAAGACTCTGACTCAAAAAAAAAAAAAAAAAAAAGAATAGAAATAGTAATAATAATGGCAAGCACTTACATAGTGATCCTATGTATTCTAAGCAGTTTACATGTATTACTTTATTTCGTTATCACAATCCCCTACAAAACAGGAGTTTTTGTTGTTGTTGTTTTTGAGACAGGGTCTGGCTGGCTCTGTCGCCCAGGCTGGAGTGCAATGGCCTGATCACAGTTCACTGCAACCTCGACCTCCTGAGCTCAAGCGATCCTCCCTCCTCAGCCTCCTAAGTAGCTGGGATTACAGGCGCACCTGAAAAGTTAAGCAGGCCAAAGCATTTGTGTAAATGGCCCGAGCACACATTTTAAGTGAGAACCATTTGAAGACTCCGAGTTTGCCTGCGAGGATTCCCAAAGGGATCTGGGCAGCTGGTGGCCCCGCCCCCTCTCTTATCGGAGCCCCCCAGCCCCTCCGTTCTCCCCACGCCTAACTTCCCTCCGGTCCCCCCCCAACCGGCCCCACGCCGCTGATTCGCTCGCAGCTTCTCCTCACCACATCCTAACCATGGCTGTGTTTCTGCAGCTGCTACCGCTGCTGCTCTCGAGGGCCCAAGGGAACCCTGGGGGTAAGCGATCCCTGGGAGAGTTGTGATAGACGCAGAGGGGCTGAAGCAAGATAAGGGCCGCCTAGTAGGGTGGGTTGTGTGTGGGAAGATCCAGGATGGCTGGAGTGCAGAACAGAGAAGAGAAAGAGGAGACGGGATGGAGGGTCGTCTTGCCCTGTGGACGTGCCCTAACCACAGCCTCCGGCCTCTCCTAGCTTCTCTGGACGGCCGCCCTGGGGACCGGGTGAATCTCTCCTGCGGAGGAGTCTCTCATCCCATCCGCTGGGTCTGGGCACCCAGCTTCCCGGCCTGCAAGGGCCTGTCCAAAGGACGCCGACCGATCCTGTGGGCCTCTTCGAGCGGGACCCCCACCGTGCCTCCCCTCCAGCCTTTCGTCGGCCGCCTACGCTCCCTGGACTCTGGTATCCGGCGGCTGGAGCTCCTCTTGAGCGCGGGGGACTCGGGCACTTTTTTCTGCAAGGGCCGCCACGAGGACGAGAGCCGTACAGTGCTTCACGTGCTGGGGGACAGGACCTATTGCAAGGCCCCCGGGCCTACCCATGGTAGGTGCAGGCCTGTGCGCACAAGGGTACTTAACTCCGACACATACCCGGAGGAGGGAAGAGGGCCTTGGCTGGGGGTTCTTGAGCGGGACTGCTGGCTGTCCCTCGTCAAACCCCTGACCTCAGCATCCCTCCCCGCCACGCCTTTCCCCCAGGGTCCGTGTATCCCCAGCTCCTGATCCCGCTGCTGGGCGCTGGGTTGGTGCTCGGACTGGGAGCTTTGGGCCTGGTCTGGTGGCTGCACAGGTGAGCAGGAGGGACCCGGCCTCGTTAAATGGGGAGTGACCAGAGGTGGAAGGGGCAGGACCAGAACCTTCGCAAAAGAAAGAGCTAGACCTAGAGCTCTGGTCCTGGCTTGGCGAAGAATGGGAGAGGTCAAAGGTGGGAGCGAGGCCGCTGACTGGTGAGTAGAGCCCCACCAGAGCAGATGAGCTGGAAGTGCAGCAGAGTTAGAGCCTGGGCTGGACTGTCGGTGGGGTAGAGTCTAAGTTGTTTCCGGTCTGAGCCTTCAAGTTGCTGGGCTGTCCTTGGCGTGGCGAGTCCCAGGAGAACCAGTGAGACAAGACTGGTGGTTCTCAAAGACTCATATGTCCCTTACAGGCGCCTGCCCCCGCAACCGATTCGACCACTCCCTAGATTTGGTGAGACTAATTCCACCCCATTTTCTTTCTCCTACATGCCCACTCCCCACCCCTCAATTCCTGAGTCTGAGCCCTTGCTGGGAGCAGACACGTTGGTCACCTTCTCTCCATCCTTCAGCTCTGTCCCCCCCACATAGCTCCACTTGTGAAAACCGAGCCCCAGAGGCCAGTAAAGGAGGAAGAGCCCAAGATTCCAGGGGACCTGGACCAGGAACCGGTAAGGGCATGGGGATGGGAAGGGGATAGCCAGAATCTCTGAGGAAAATGGACCAAAAAAAAAAAGGCCTGAACCCCAAGGAAGACTGTGGAGACCATCTTGTCTTCCTCCCCTTCCTCCTCCAGAGCCTGCTCTATGCGGATCTGGACCATCTAGCCCTCAGCAGGCCCCGCCGGCTGTCCACAGCGGACCCTGCTGATGCCTCCACCATCTATGCAGTTGTAGTTTGAAGGGAAGCCCTTACTCCAAACCTCCCAAGCTAGGGGATCCCAGCTCCCCATAATCCCTCTCCCCTCCTTGGTTCCTCACCTGGAAGAGGAAGGCACCATGGTATAGAAATAAGTGCTAGACTGGGAGTTGGGAGACCTGGGTTCCAGGCTGTCTCTGCCACTGGTCTTACTTCTAAACTTACTCCCATCTCTCCTATAACCTCCATGTCTCCCTCACCACCAGTGTCCTCTCTATACCCAATCAAGCCCTAGCTCCTTTTTTTTTTTTTTTTGAGACGGAGTCTCGCTCTGTTGCCCAGGCTGGAGTGCAGTGACACCATCTCCCTCACTGCAAGCTCCGCCTGCCGGGTTCACACCATTCTCCTGCCTCAGGCTCCTGAGTAGCTGGGACTACAGGCGCCCGCCACCACGCCCAGCTAATTTTTTGTATTTTTAGTAGAGACGGGGTTTCACTGTGTTAGCCAGGATGGTCTTGATCTGCTAACCTCGTGATCCACCCGCCCCGGCCTCCCAAAGTGCTAGGATTACAGGTGTGAGCCACCGCGCCCGGCCTGATTCTTTAAGCTGTTTTTCTTTGTTGCTGGTGTTTTCTTTTTGGACTCCTCTTCCTTGCTCCATATCCCTACAGTATTTCCCACCATTCTAGGTTTGTCCCTTTCTCTTCTTCTGGGACACTCTCATCAACAGTCAGTCCTCAGCCCCCTCCTCTGCAAATGACACTCAGAACTCTCTCTGGCTCAGATCTCAGATTTGGGATTAACAAACTTCCACTTAGACATTCTGCCTGACTGACCTCAGGCATTTCGCACTCTGAATGTCAAACCCAACTCATTGTCATCTCTGAAGCTGCTCACTTAATTCTCCTCTGTATTCTCTTTAACAACCCAGTTGCCCAACCCAGAAACTGGGAGTCACGCAGACCTCCTTTCTCTCTTACTCCCACACAATGAGCCATGAAGTCCAGTCTTTCTATCTTAACATCACTGTCAAACCCACACTGTATTCCATGCCCAGCGCTGCCACGTGAATGTACTCTGCTCACTTCCTTCCTGGATTACCCATAGCCCCACCTCATCCTCCTACCCTTGCTTTCCTCCCTGAAGTCAGAGAGATCCTACTCAAGAGATAACTGCTCCTGACAGCCCTTATTACAGAACTGAAGTACTCTCCTTAGCTTCAGCTCTGTGCCCACGTGCCTTGGCTTTGGATACAAGGTACTACAGCACTTTGTCCACTCTCCAGGCTTACCTGTGTCATTCCACATGCACATCTTAGAAAATGCCAGCCTTAGAGAATTCTCCCTAGCCCCAAAATGTCTTTGCCCAGTGCAATTCCTTCTTCCTGTATTACCCCTTTCCCTCCTTCACACTATCTGCCTGGCTAATTCTTATTTATCCTTAGTTCAAGTATGGCCTTTTCTGGGAAGGTGACCCTCCTTGGCCACCCCTTGCATATACTTTGATGCCCTAGGGCACACCCCCTTTATTTCCCTCATAGAAACAGCCTTCTGTAAATTGTTCCATGACAACCTGTATTTCAATTTGTAAGAAATTTGCATGTACTGTGAGCTCCCCAACGTCAGGAGACTGACCCTTTTGATATCATTGCTAAGCCTCATTAAATGAATGAATGAAAATGAATGTCCCTGGAAGTGTCATTTCTTTTTCTTTATCAAATAGGGGTGGACTGGTAATCTACCAGTCTCTGAATCATCTAACATTTAGATAAATTCAGTGAGCAATCCACCCATACACTCTTTTCTCTGCCCTGGACACACTTCCCATGATAGAAATTCTGTCTTGTTCATCTTGTGCTCAAGTACCTATGACATGGTTGGGCAATGAGTTGATAAGTACCTAACAAGATTTTTGAATAAGAGGCCTTCTTCCCTGCACTGACCCCAAACTCAGGTTTCAGCCCTGCCCTATCCCTTTGCCCCAGTAAGACACCAGTCACAGCCCAGTCTAAAAGGTCAATTCTATTTTATTGGTTCTGAGAGGGAGGATTCACCCAGTGGATCCTTTTCCCTACACTCTCCCCTCCCCCAATATTGAGGCTCTCTCCCAACTACTGCCTATTCAGCATTCTCTATCTAACCCTCCTTCCCCTTCTACTTCCTATACTATCCTACCCCTGGCCAGCAGTACCCCAAGGCCAGGCCCTCAGCTGTGGGGGCGTGTGCTGAGCACCAAGCAGAGGGAGCTGAGCCCGGCGCCAGCCTTCTCCAGTTCTGAGCAGGACACAGGTACCAGGGTGACATCAGAGAGCTTCTGCAGTGCCTGCACAGGGAAGACATGGAGTGGGGAGAGGGGAGTGAGACCTCAGGCTGAGCCAGGCCACTCTTCCAGCCAGCTCAGAGTGGCCCCACCCAGGCTTCTAGAGAAGGTACCCTTCCTTCCTCCCACTAGGAAAGCCTGAAACTCTTTTCTCTGATGGTGCTTGGTGTTGGAGTTCCTGCCCTCTCTCACCTCCTGGCTGTTGGGCAGATCCCCACCTCCACGGTGCAGGAGGAAAGGGGGCACACCAGGCAACCCAGGACGAAGAAAGAGACAGTCAGCAGCTGCGTCATCTGGGAGGGTCAGGGAGGCATATGGGTGATCTGTCAGCACTGCCATTGCCTAGAGGAAAGAGGAAGTGTTCGAGTCTCAGAACCTCTCCACAGCTGTGTCTGCCTGCTCAACCACCACTAAGGGCTGGGGACGGACTGACATTTGTGGAAAATAATGACAGCAAGCACATAGAGCTTACGATATGTCAGACACTAAGTACTTTAGTTACCTTTGCTAATTTCCACCTTGGAATCACATGCAGTTATTTTCAACCCCCTACCTTCCCCAGCCCCTCCTATCTGTCCTACCCATCCTTAGAGTCACAGTTTAGGTGCCACCTTTGGGGTTTCCTGAAACTCCGGAAGAGCAAATTAATCACCCCTGTTCCCAGTCCTGCTGTTGTAACTTCTTATTTTCTCCTGTGTTCTTTCATGTAAGATGGACAGCCCATTGAGGGCAGGGGTTAGGGCTAATTTCCTAAGCCTCCCAGCTCCCGGCCTCCCGGGCCCAGAACTGCGCCCACTTTCGTTGGCCCCGCCCCCTCCTCACCCGGACAGCCTTTTGGGCAGCGTCGCTGCTGCCTGCCACAACAGTGCGAGGTCCCCCCATGCCGCAGAGACCGCGCAGGTGGGAGGGACCCGAGACTGGCACAGTGGAGACGGCGAAGTCCTAGGGAGAGCGAAGGGAGGTATTCAGGGGCGCGGGAGGGGTGATGGGGTATCTTCAAACATAGGCTGCTCTCTGCCTCTCATTTCCTCAGCGGGCGCCCAGGCCCTTCCGACCCCCACCTGCACCCCCTCCCTCCCTAGGCTGGTCCCGCTCCGCACCCGGAACGTGTCCGCCACGATCTCAGCTCCTCGGTGATTGGTCCATTTGGAGAGGCCTACGAAAAACTCCCGGCCTGAGTCCGGGAGGCCGCGGAGGTTTGAGGGCGGGAGTGAGTTAGAAACAAGGCTCCAGACGGCCGAGTCTCCCAAACTCTACTTCCCTGTGCCAAGACCTATGCCTCCCCCCAGCCTCACCGGTGAAGAGAACGTCAGTGCCATCCAGCGTCGCGTTCTCGTCTCCTATTTCCACAATTCGGAGCCCCAGGTCTTGCAGGGCTTTGCGGACTCCATCGACCTTAGGATAGGAGAAGAGGGCACGGAGCTGTGACACCCCCATCCTCAATTCTTCCCCAAAGCCCCGACATCCAGTTCCTTCTGCCTTTCCCCATACCACACCCGCGCCACGGCGCTCACCTCTGGCCTACGAGCGGGGCTCCAGGGCCGCGTGATTAGGGCCGTGTCCCCTTGGATCACGGCCGTGTCGCCAAGCAGCGGTCCCAGCGGCAATGACTCCTCAGGTGGCAGTTCTAGCAGCTGTAGCCCCAGTCGTTGCCTCAGTTTACCTCCCAGCACCCCGTGCTCCCTTTGAGCTTTGGCCAGATCCAGAGCGGGAAGGCCAGCCCCCGCACCTTCCCCCGACGCCAGGCTCTCTGGGACTCCCCGGATCAGGGCATGGGAGCAGCGGCCCAGCCCCTCCCCCGGCGTCCCCATCCCATCCACACAGACTCCCCCTCCAACCGCTCGGATTTCTTAGTTTTCTTGTTTCTTCACCTGTCTGGGAGAAGAAACAGAAAAGGAGGAGACAGAGAAAAAGACATGCAGACAAGGGCGTTGGGGGTGGTTAAGAGCGCCCAGGTCTTCCTCCTGCCATCTCTAGGCGTCCCTCCCACTCCGCCCCACCCACTCCAGACCTTCCGCTCCTGTCGACCTCACTCTACCCAGCACCCTCAGGGGTCAGATTCTTTAAGAGGAGCCTGAGGAACAAGGCTAGGGTCTCTAATCTCCAAAACACCTGTTGCCCCTGCTTGGGGGCTTGTGAGGTCCCTGTCGGGCGCCCCTCTTGGCAGCCACTAGGATGCGCTCACTCCCCAAAAATGCAGCAGCCCCGCCCCCTTAACCCTCAGCTGCTCGCTACCGCAGGGACTGGAAGTCCAGCCCGCGACCCGCAGGGGTTATGGGACAGAAGGAGAAAGCTGGAGAGGCAGGGGCTGGGGAATGGAAGTCCTGAATACCCGAACGAGAAGGGAGAGAGGTGGGTAGGAAGGGAGGAGTTCGAGCCTAAGGAGTTAAGCATCCTCTCTCCGCCCTGGCTGGTCACGCTGCCCCTAGCGCGACCTAGTATAAACCAGACCGAGTCCCGAAGGACTGGGAGAGGTCTAAAACGAAATGCGAGGGGCGGGGTAACAGGGGGCGTGGTTCCGGGGCGCTGGCACTACTCCCGGCTCCAGGACCCGGTTCCCCGTCTATGTCCCAAAGTCCACCCCGCCTAGCTCCGCGCCCAAATACCGGCTCCCCATACTCTCTGTCTGGTGCAGGCATGGGCCCGGCACCCCCAAACTCCGGCCCCCACACGGTTCAGGGCCCCCCACGCAAGACTCACCTCCAGCGGCCACCCCCACTCCTGTCGCGCTGTGATCTCGGCTGGGGCCCCACCCCCCGAGGACAGAGTTGGTGGAGAAGGGAGTCCCCGTCTTCAAGCCTCGGGGACTGGGAGCTCTGGCTTTTAGCGGGGGTCCTTGTGTAGGCGAGCTCATATACTACGATGGGGCAGGGGCGCGACGGTCTGGCGGCTCCGGGGCATTGTCTAAGCGGGACGGGGCGGGGCTTCTTCGGGCCACGCCCATTCCGCCCTGCTAAGCCTCGCCCATTACATCCAGACTGCGCCCCCCTTGCCAGAAATCGGCACCGCCCAGCGAGCGCTGCCCAGGCCCACCCAGATCTGGCCGGCCCTGGCGACGGGGCTGCAAACGCTTCGTAGACCTCAGAACAGCGCAACGGCGGACCGGCGGACCGGCACGAAACATAGCAGCCCCACCACAAACATTTCCCTTCTTAATTCCTGGCTTCTGCCCTGAGCTCAAGATCACTGACCCACCCCTCATTCCATGTCGCCCACACTTTAAACCCCCATTGCGTAAAAACACTTGATTTTTATTCTGTATTTTATTACTGAAATATGTTGTCCTACTCATCCCACCCCACAATAAAAATCTGACCCAGGCCCCCCATTTCTTTCCCTCATCCCCTCTTCCACCACACCATCCCGGAACAAGTGCTCCAGGATTCCCTGCCCACTGGCCATTTTGGAGTGTGTCCATTGGGTAGCAATGTGGAAACCACCAGGGCCTTTGTGGAGAAAATGGAGGGGGTTGAGGGAGTCCCAGGAGGGGCTTATTTGAGGGCCTTTGCCACTTGCTCATAGGCGAGCTCGATCTCCTCATCATCTGGACAGGTGGAAGCGAATTCTTCCCGGGCGTAGGCATTGCTCAAGTACCGATGCACTCCCCGGAAGGCCTCGGGGATGGTGAATCCCCGGTACTTCTTACACACCACCTGAGGATGGGGAGAGGAGAGGGACCAACATGTTAGACCCAGGGAAGCCACCTTGGCTTTCCCTTCTCCCCAGGCCGACATGATAAAACCAGCTCAACTCCTCACTGTCTTGTACTGTCGTTAGCCTTCCTTCTCACTTACTGAAATCCTGGCTTTTAATAACCAGCCATTTTTCCTGAGTTTTTAAAACTTGAGATATAATTTACTTATAAAATTCTCCTCTTGAATTTCCACAGTGACTTTTTCCCCCTATACCACTTCAGGCACTGACACAGGTGACTTTTGTCTCTATATTTTTCATCAGACTTTTTTTTTTTTGAGATGGAGTCTTGCTGTCACCCAGGCTGGAGTGCAATGGCGCGATCTTGGCTCACTGCAACCTCCGCCTCCCGGGTTCAAGTGATTCTCCTGCCTCAGCCTCCCAAATAGCTGTGATTACAGGTGCCCACCACCATGTGCGGCTAATTTTTGTAATTTTAGTAGAGATGGGGTTTCACCATGTTGGCCAGGCTGGTCTCGAACTCCTAACCTCAGGTGGTCCACCAGCCTTGGCCGCCCAAAGTGTTGGGATTATAGGCGTGAGCCACCACGCCCGGCCCATCTGACTTTTCATCATATATTCTTAACTTTCATGTGAATATTTTATTGTCTCAGATTTCAACCCTTTGAGAGCAAGGCCCAGTCACCATACACTTGTGTATCTTTCAATGCTTAGTACACAGATGTTCACTACATAGTTGTGTGGCAGACTGATGTCAGGCCCATGTTGCACAAACTAAACCATAGCTTTGAGACTATGACAAAAACATGGGAACCAGCAGTTTTGATCTTCCACAAGAGGAAGTGAAGACTGAAGTTATAAAGAAAGTTAAAGCTTTGACTTTAGGAAAAGCCTGCTCTGTCTAATCTGGGAATTTGGCAGTGATACCGAGACAGGAAGAGCATTCTTCAAAAGTAATACTGGGATGTATTCCTCTTTGCTAGTCTGTTTGCACCCATGACTTACATCATGGAATATAATTATCTCAAGCAGTGGTCTTGTTAGCAATGACTGCTGCAAAGGACTGGGGTGGGGTCTGCCATTGGTAGCAATTTATGAAAACCACCCTAAGAAAGAAATCGTCTTTAGAGTGGTTGTCAGGGGAAGCCCATGTGGGAGCTCCTTAAAGGGCCACTCCAGTGGTCATCCTCTCCTCCCGCAATAACCACACACCTGTACTATGTGTAACTTTGGCAACAGGTTGCAGTCAGCCAGGGTGAGCTCGTTGCCATCCAAAAACTTCCTCTGAGAGACACCTTCATCTTCAGCACTGGTTTCATCCACTTCTTCTGGGAGGGGGGATGTTAAGTAATTGTCTAAAACCTTCAGGGCTTTCAGGAGTCCCTTCTCCAGATCTGTGCAAGAGAGGGAACTGATTAGAACTTCAGGAAAAGATTGACATAGTCCGAAAAGGCCCGTTGGGGGTGGATACTAATGGTGAGTCCAAAATAATAATAGCTAACACTCATGTAGTTACTTTTCTATGTGTTATTCTAAGCACTTTACATTTTATTTTATGTTAGACGGAGTCTTGCTCCGTTGCCCAGGCTGGAGTGCAGTGGCATGATCCCGGCTCACTGCAACCTCTGCCTCCTAGATTCAAATGATTCTCCTGCCTCAGCCTCCTGAGTAGCTGGGATTACAGGTGCCTGCCACCACAACTGGCTAATTTTTGTATTTTTTTCAGTAGAGACCAGTCATGTTGGCCAGGCTGGTCTCCAACTCCTAACCTCAGGTGGTGCGCTAGCCTCGGCCTCCCAAAGTGAACACTTTACATTTTACAAACTCATTTATATCGCCGGGTGCAGTGGCTCACTCCTGTAATCCCAGCACTTTGGGAGGCCGAGGCAGGTGGATCACCTGAGGTCGGGAGTTCAAGACCAGCCTGGCCAACATGGTGAAACCCTGTCTCTACTAAAAATACAAAAATTAGCTGGGCGTGGTGATGCACGTCTGTAATCCCAGCTACTCAGGAGGCTGAGGCAGGAGAATTGCTTGAACCCGGCAGGCAGAGGTTGCAGTGAGCTGATTGCACCACTGCACTCCAGCCTGGGCGACAGAACGAGACTCCATCTCAAAAAAAAAGAAAAAAAAAAATTTATATCAACCCATGAAATAGGTATTGTCATCCTAATTTTGTGGATCTGGAAATGGACTTACAGAGAGGTGAAATGATTGCTCAAAATTATACGGCTAGTTGGATTTGTACTCAGGTAGTCTGGATCTAGAGTGATGACTGTTCTTAAGCATGACCCTATTCTGCCAGAAAACAGGCCAGCAGCCAACTAACGTCCTCAGTGGGGCAGAAGAGGCTAGGGAACAAATGAGAAAAGCTTAAAAGTCTTGGCCAATGAAAATGCAGGGAAATATAGAGGTAAAGCAAAAATGGGAAGCTGGGGGAAATTTACGAACATCTGCTTCATCTCCCTGATATCTGAACGTCCAGGTGCCCCTAATGTCTCCTACCCGCTGGGTCCTCTCTATTCCTCCCAGGACCCAGGCCTCTGACCCACAAGACTCACTGTCATTGAGTGCTGGGTTTGAATTCTTGATGTAGGCAGAAAATTTGGCAAATATGTCCAGCCCAGCTGTGTTGGACTCAGGGTTCAGAGCTGCCAGCTTGGGGTACCTGAAAGCCAATGGGAAAAATGAGGTAAGATGTCTTCCTGGGAGGAACCTCAGCTAGCTCTCCTGCCCCAGCCCCACCACCATCTCTGTTTTCCATTTCTGCAAACTGTCTGTTTCCCAGAATCTCCCTGCTCCACCTCTCCACTTTCTGAGTGCCCCTATACCTGGGAGGGCACAGCACTGCCTCCAGAAATTCCTCAATCTTGTTGGTGTCTGTGTGCACTTCAGTGCCATACAGCAGGAATGGGAGCTGCCCCCCTGGGCACAGCTTCTGCACTGTCTCGGTCCGCCTGGAGAAAGGATCAGGAATCAGGACTGGAAATGGGGGTCAGGAAGAACCAGAAAGGGGGAATGGAGGACGTGGGATAAGAAAGGGACTCCAGGGGGAGGGCAAAAATGTTCATGACAGAAGGACTCGGGTGGGTGTGTGTTTGCACACATGTGTACACCAGGGGTGTTTCAAGGAACATAAGCAGGCCTACCTTTTGGTGTCAACGGTGGTAACATTGAAGGTGACTCCCTTGAGCCACAGTACCATGAACAGTCTCTGGGAGAATGGGCAGTTCCCAATCTTGGCCCCATCACTGCCAGCCTGAAAAGTAACCCCAACCCAAGGTTATGCCTGATGCACCCCACCCATCCCTAGGCCAGTCCCTGCATTCCCACTCCCAGACCAGCTGTTTTCTGCCTAGTCATGACACATACACTGTCCCCTCACTATGGGCTCTTTGCCCTTGGGCCTGGGTCAAACCTAAGGCAGATCAATGGGAAACTGTTTTGCAAAGGCAGGCTTCTGGTTCCCCAGACACTGAGGACAGGTGGGAGGTAGGTAGAGGGAGGAGGTCCTGGAGAACTTGGGAGGATCTGAATCCTAGAGAGGGAAGGGTGTGGAACTTCAGTGAGGCCAGAGTTGTAGGCTAGAAGCCTGGATTTCTGGGTTCCTGAAGGGAGTAGAGTCTGAAGACAGGAGAGGTGGGTGGGGTTTGGGAGCCAGAGTTTTGGTTCTCTACACCTCCAATCCAAGGTGTCTTTGGGTGGGGAGTCTAGTCAAGGGGCCCTGGGCCTCGCGCTAGAGATGTGGAGGGCCCTACAGAGAGGGGCTGCCCTCTAATTAGCAAGTGGTGACCTCATTGGCCCAAGGGACACCTCCCCCTAAGCTGAGGGTGATTCATCTCTCTGTCTCCGGCTTCCTTCCTGTCAAGGATGTGGGGGAAGGGACAGTGAGGATGAGGCCTGGGCAGCTAAGGCTACCCCTAACCTGCTGCCAGGGTCTCCCAGCACAAGTCCTCTGACTGCAATAACCATCCTCTCACAGGACACAGGGCCGGAATCTCTGCGGCACAGCCTCACCCACGAGTAAAAATAGCCCCGGAGGCGAATGTGAGAGTGAGGTGGGGACCACACCTAAGGGGGCGGACCCAAGCAGGCTCCGACTTCCCTGGGCCCAGGGAGAGGGAATGGCTGCCCGAGAAACCCAAGCAGAAGGGAGAGGGAGACACAGGCAGAGACACACAAAGATGAGAGAAACAAAAGGGGGGAAGGGGAAAGAAAGGCGGCAGGAAAGTGGAGAGTGGGGAGACGTGCGTGCCAACGGAGAGACACAAACGGAGCGGGGAGAAGAGGACACTGTTAAGGAAGGGAGGGAGGGGCACAGCCAGGAGGTCCCAAGACTGGGAAATGAATGCAGCAGCGGTAGGGAGGGGAGCGGCCGCTGCAATCAGAGAGGGGCTGGGTGACACCGAGAAGCCTGCTGCCTGCAGTTTTGCTACCCAAATGCCATAGGACCATCTCTCCTTACCCACACCCGCAGAGAGAGGAGAGAGTTGGGGCAAGTCTTCTACTTCTCCAACCCCCAAATCCCAAAATGCCCTAACCGAGCTCTTCTCCTCCGTCTGATCTCTCTCCCACCCATCCTTGTGGTAGCTACGTTAAACTCACGTCTTCTTGCCACCTCCCCTTCTGTCCCTTTCCCCAGTCCTGGGGATATTCAATGCCACCCGATCACCTCTCCAGCTCTGCTTTTCAAACTCCGATCCCAGTCTCCTGTTTTGTTCCGCCCCTCCAAAGCTTCCCAATTTACTTGCTCTCACTCTCAGGCCTCCCTCAACACACCGTCTTCCCTGAAGCGTCTCCATCCACACACACACACACACACACACACACACACACACACACACACACACACCTCTCCTACTGCACTACTCACCCTCAGATCTTGTAGGGACACATGTCCTAACTGAGGTTCCCCTCTGTCCCTTCTAAACCCTGCTGGGCCCCCACTGTCCCTTCACCAGCTCGCCCTCTAACCCCACCCCAGTCTCACTTTTGGGAATTCTCCTTTTTCTCCACTTCCCTTCCTTTAGTCTGCTAGAAACTTGCACTTTTACAAACTTTTCAGGGTTGATCCTAGAATTCTCATTACTTGCTAACAAGTTAATGTCTTCCCCTCTCAAAACCACCCCTCAACCAAAGAGTGCACGTGGGATTGGGGGTGGGAGTCAAGGAGGGAAGGGATTGGGGAGTTAAGGCTGGACCGGGGGAAAGGTGAGAGTTGGCTTCCAGGAATTTGGGTGGCTGAGGAGAGAAGTGTTCTTACCTTCACGAACAATTCGACCTGCGGTTGTTCTTCAGCCATGGTTGCGTCGGGGACCAGGAAGTGGCCGTCCCTGGGGGAACTGGGAGGGGCTGGGACCGGGGAAGGCGGGTCTCACACTCAGGGACTCTCTCCCCTAGACCCAGGGCTGTCCCTTCAGCACAACACAAGCTCAATCAGACCTACTTGCACCCAAACTAGGCCTCCCCACCAGCCCAACGCACCCCACACCCAGCTCCTCCAGCTCGGTCCTCTCCCGGGCTGGATCAGAGAGCCGCTGACTCACCGACCGGCCCCGCCCTGAACCTGGGGAGGGGACTGGAGGGGGGCGGGACTCGACGATGTAGGGAGTGAGTCCGGAAGGGGAATCCTCGGATCTCCCACAGGATGGGGATGGGGGTGTTAAGGAGGAGTCCTGAAAACCTCCTTGTTTCTCCGACCTCTCCTGAACACAGGACTCTTTTCTGCCTCAGTTTCCCTGCTTCATTAATCTGAGTACAACCCGACTGACCCTCATATAAAAAACTTGACACTAACAGCTTGGGCACACCCGTGAAGATTCAGGGATGGGGACTTCAAATGGAAAGGTGGTCGTTTAATCATTCTGCATTTCTTCCAGACTCCAATCCAAATTCTGGGTTGCTGGGACTGTGGTCTGAGAGAAGAACTCGGAAGTGGAAGGCTGGGACTGCAGATAGGAACCGTTAGCCATGCAGCCTGGGATTAGGGAAGGGGTGACGCCAGCACTCCCTGAGCTGCCCAGACTGGTGTCTCAGTAGGTCCTGTGCCCCCCGCAGTCTACTGTCTCCGGGCCCAGCTCAGCACTAGGACTTGCAGTCCTTGTGGCCTACACTTGGGATTGGGCATAGGAAATAGAGTTAGGGGCCGGGTGAGGTGGCTCACGCCTGTAATCCCAACACTTTAGGAGGCCAAGGGGGGTGGATCACCTGAGGTCAGGGAGTCAAGACCAGACTGGCCAACATGGTGAAACCCTGTCTCTACTAAAAATACAAAAATTTGCCAGGCGGGGTGGTGGGCACCTGTAATCCCAGCTACTTGGGAGGCTGAGGCAGGAGAATCAATTGAACCCGGGAGGTGAAGGTTGCAGTGAGCTGAGATGGTGCCATTGCACTCCAGCCTGGGCAATAAGAGCGAAACTCCATCTCAAAAAAAAAAAAAAAAAAGAAGAAGAAGAAAAGAAAAAGAAAGTAGAGTTAGGGATGGGAAGGGAGATGACGAAGTCTTTTGCGAAGGAAACATAAAGCCGAGGCAAGGGGCTTTGTTGCAGGGAGGGGTCTGTTCCTGTAGCTTGGTCAGCTTTGTGCTTCCACTTATGTTTCCTATTGGGGCCCCTTCCTGTGCCCTTTGTCCTCGTCTCACTGACAGGTTGCCTTGGAGATGGGGCAGAGGGGTGGGATTATCATGGCCCGATCCTGAAGTATGTGTATAGGGGGTGGGGTAGGGGTGTTGTTAGCTGGTCCTGTCATGGGGATAAAGAAAGATCAGACAGAATAGTGGGAGTAGAGTCCTTGGGGACACCTAAATAAATAAGCAGGGAGGACATAGGAGGAGCAGCTCTCTCTCCAGTAACCTTGATTTCTATTAAACCTTTATGACCTGCTGAAAAAATAAACCCAGAATTCCAGCCTCCATATCCTGAATTTCTCTCCTGTCCAACCATCCCTTCTCTATCCTCCTCATCACCCTCTGTCCAACAAAAGACCTACAGTTCCAGAAAACCATGGTGGAGTGCAAGAACACAGAACTAAAACAGAGCTTGAAACTTAAAGAAAGGGAGAGACTTGGGGGAGGAGTGGGGTGGAGTGACGTGATGTGCTGCTGGAAACCAGCAGTTGGTGGTTTCCTCTTGTGCTTCCTCTTCTGTGGGTTTTCTCCTGCTTGTGGGAGGGCCTTTTTCTCTCCTCCCGACAGAAAGGCTATCTTTGGTGTTCGTTCCCTTGAACTGTAACATCCTGTAAGGGTATGATTCCATGCCTCTGTGTGGGTGTGAATTCCCTCATGGTGACCCTCAAAATCTGCACACAGGACCCCTTCCCATTGAGGGGAGGGGATCAAAACAACTCTACTTCTCAGGGTCCTCTCCTGTTCCAACTGGTCTGTGTCCAAGAGAAGCCTTAGGTAAATGGGGCCAGCTTGAAGATCAAACAGGTTTGGCAGCCTCTCCCGGCCTCTCTTTTCTCTCCTACAGCTTTATAGCTACAGCTGCCTTGATATCAATATTGACTTTGGCTGGCTGGCATGACTACCCACAGGGTATCGTGCCTTAATTTACCAGGTGACAGGCAACGCTGCCCTCTCCTGGAACCATCCAGCAGAGCCAGGGCTGTACCCCCAAATCCTGCAACAGAGGTTTCCCTCCATCTCACCTCCCTGTCCCTGCATTTCTCCTATCTCAGTAGCTCCTCTTTCCCTCTCTGGGCTTCTCTTTCCACTCCCTCCCCTTCCTGGGCTTGGTAAACTAGTCCCTAATCTCTTCACACCCCAGATTGGAAGGTGGGTCCCTCCCTGACACTCCCCAGAGCTGTCACCAACCTCCTCCAAGTTTCTATAGCTCCATTGCTCAACAGATTTGCCAGGGGTAACCATTAACCCAGCCCTTAACTCTGTTCCCCCACCTTTCTTGCTGGAGGGGATTTTCCAATTACTGGTTAGCACAGCTAGGTCATCTCACCCCCACCATCTTTCCTAACTTCTTGGGTTGGGGGGCTGGGGAGGAATCTCCCCATCTCAGGGTACTAGGAACAAAGCTGGGGAGGATGGTGCATTTAAAGGGATTATATATATATATATATTTTTTTTTTTTCTTTCTCCCTCATAACCCCACCCCCGCAACACACACACACACACACACACACACACACACACAGACGCACAAATAAGCTTTATGGAGCAGTGACTTCATTATGTTCACCGCTTTGAGTCCAACCCCTGGCCCAAAATAGGCACTAAATAGTTGCCGAATGCATGAATGATAGATACCTCTCTGTCTTCAGGGGTGTGTAGAAGTGCGAAGGGGTATGGGCATGTCCCAGTAGGGGTGTGAGTGTTCTGATCAGAACTACTTCTCTCTGCCAGAATTTGATGTAATTCGAATGCTTCCACCTCTGCTTGAAGGGTTTAAATAATAAATTAGGCCCTGTCGTGCCATTATGGGGGTGGTCATACCCTGTACCCAGGAAACAGGCACGGTAGGGCTGAGACAGAAGTCCTGCTTGTTTCCGCTTATTTATTTGAAACACCGCTCATTTAGGTCTTACTTTGTTTGCCAGGCACTGTTCTAAGCTCTGTATAAATATTAACTCAGAGGGTACAAATATTAACTTAAGAGTTGTTGCAGGAAAAAAAATAAGCGCCTCTGGCTCTTTAAGTTTGGCCTCCCCCTCAAAACCCCCGCAACGGTCCCAAACCCCTTCCAGGGACTGGGACTACGGACCCTGGTCCGACCTTCTCGCGGGCTTCCCACTGCGCCAATCAAATCCCAGAAACAGTGAGTGCTAGAGGCCCGGCTGCTAAGCAACGGCAGAGGGCGGGAAGTTTGAACGTTCTGGACCCGCCCCGAAGGCAAATAGGCCAATCAGCGTCCAGACTCTTCAGCTACGGCAGTCCGCTTCTCCTCCTCGCCCTGTCGGATCTCTAGGCTGGATCCGGGCCTCTCCAATCAACAGCGGCTAGGAGGGCGGGGCGCGTGCGCGCGCACCTCGCTCACGCGCCGGCGCGCTCCTTTTGCAGGCTCGTGGCGGTCGGTCAGCGGGGCGTTCTCCCACCTGTAGCGACTCAGGTTACTGAAAAGGCGGGAAAACGCTGCGATGGCGGCAGCTGGGGGAGGAGGAAGATAAGCGCGTGAGGCTGGGGTCCTGGCGCGTGGTTGGCAGAGGCAGAGACATAAGACGTGCACGACTCGCCCCACAGGGCCCTCAGACCCCTTCCTTCCAAAGGGTAACCTCCGCGTGACAGGAATGAGGGTGGGGCGCGTGGAGTTTCCCACAATCTGTACTTTAGTTAAATACCCGAGAATTCACCTCCTGTGTCCACAGCTCTCCACGCCCCTCAGCCCTGCCCCGCAGCCCTGTAGCAGAAGTACTTAGTGCTTTGCATTCTGCGCGCCACCCTACCCCGGCCTCCTCTGTGAATCGTTGCTTCCGAACCGCCCTCACTTTTTGCATCCGCAGAGCCTCCAAGCTCATGGCCTCCTTAGGAGCGAACCCAAGGAGGACACCGCAGGGACCGAGACCTGGGGCGGCCTCCTCCGGCTTCCCCAGCCCGGCCCCAGTGCCGGGCCCCAGGGAGGCCGAGGAGGAGGAAGTCGAGGAGGAGGAGGAGCTGGCCGAGGTCTCTGAGGGGAGTAGAAACTTGAATGGAGAGTTGATGGGAAGTTAGAATAAAAGAGGGTTGGGAGCCGGGCGCGGTGGCTCACACCTGTAATCTTAGCACTTTGGGAGACTGAGGCGGGCGGATCACCTGAGCTCAGGAGTTGGAGACCAGCCTGGGCAACATGGCGAAACCCCGTCTCTACTAAAAATATAAAAATTAGCCGAGCGTGGTGGCACGTGCCTGTTATCCCAGCTACTGGGAAGGCTGAGGCAGGAGAATCACTGTAACTCGGGAGGCGGAGGTTGCAATGAGCTGAGATTGCTCCACTGCACTTCAGCCTGGGCGACAGAGCAAGACTCCGTCTCAAAGAAAGAAAGAAAAAAAAAACAGGGTTGGGAAGAGCTGGGCAAGTCTCTTACCTCCTGAGTGGCTGTTTCACATTCACTAAATGGGGGTGATGATGCCTATCTCAGAGATTTGAGAAAATGATTAAATTATATAAGACATGGTAAACCCTACACTTATGAGTGATTCTAATAGTGATTTCCTTTCTTCCTTGCTGGACAGATCCATCTGTGTGTGCTGTGGAATTCAGGATACTTGGGCATTGCCTACTATGATACTAGTGACTCCACTATCCACTTCATGCCAGATGCCCCAGACCACGAGAGCCTCAAGCTTCTCCAGAGAGGTGGGGATGGAACCATGAATTCCTCTGCTCTCTGGGATTGCAGATGTGTTACACACACACACACACACACACACACACACACACACACATATTTTTTTTTTCTAGACAGAGTCTTGCTCTGTTACCCAGGCTCAAGTGCAGTGGCGCAATCTTGGCTCACTGCAGCCTCCACCTCCTGGGTTCAAGCAATTCTCCTGACTCAACCTCCCGAGTAGCTGGGACTACAGGCGTGTGCCACCACACCCAGCTAGTTTTTTGTGTGTGTTTTTAGCACAGACGGTGTTTCACCATGTTGGCCAGGGC